>NC_000011.10:50212269-50364539 GCF_000001405.40 Homo sapiens | reverse complement strand
TCAGGATATTCGGATTATTCTTAATGCTTCAATGGGCTCCGAAATGTTCCTTTGCAGATTCTACAAAGAGAGTGTTTTCAACCTGTGAATCAAAGGGAAGTTTTAACTCTGTTAGATGAATCCACACATCACAAATCAGTTTCACAGATAGCTTCATTCAAGTTTCTATCTGGGGATATTTGATTTTTTCCCACAGGCATCAATGGACTCCAAAATGTCCCTTCACAGATTCTACAAAAAAATATTTCCAAACTGCTGAGTCAAAAGGAAGTTTTAACTCTGTGACATGAATCCACACATCACCTAGCAGTTTCACAGATAGCTTCCTTCTAGTTTTTATCTGGGGATATTTGGTTTTTTTTTTCCATAAGCATGAATGGGCTCCCAAATGTTCCTTCACAAATTCTACAAAAAGAGTGTTTTCAACCTAGTGAACCAAAGGAAAGGTTAAACTCTGTGAGATGAATCCACACATCACCAAGGAGTTTCACATATAGCTTCTTTCTAGTGTTTATCTGCAGATATTCGGTTTTTCACTATAGGCCTCAATTGGCTCCCAAATGTTTCTTCACATATTCTACAAAGAGAGTGTTTCCAACCTGCTAAATCAAAAGGAAGGTTTAACTCTGTTAATGAATCCACACATCACAAAGCTGTTTCACAGATAGCTTCTTTCTATTTTTTATCTCAGGATATTCGGTTTTTCCTTGTAGGATTCAATGGGCTTTAAAATGTCACTTCACTTATGCTACAAAAAGAGTGTTTCCAACCTGCTTAATCAAAAGAAAGGCTTAACTTTGTGAGATAAATCCACACATCACAAAGCAGCTTCACATAGGGCTTCTTTCTAGTTTTTAGCTGGGCATTTTCCATTTTTCCCCATAGGCCTCAATGGGTTCCCAAATGTCTCTTCGCAGATCCTACAAAATGTCTGTTACCAACCTGCTGAATCAAAAGAAAGGTTTAATTATGTGAGATGAATCCACACATCACAAAGCAGTTTCACAGATAACTTCTTTCCAATTTTTATTTTGGGATATGTGGTTTTTCTCCATAGGCCTAAATTGTCCCCCAAATCCCTTTCAGAGATTCTACAAAAAAAAGTGCCTACAATCTTCTGAATCAAAATAAAGGTATAACTCTGTGAGATGAAATGACAAATCACAAAGCACTTTCACAGATAGCTTTTTTTCTAGTTTTTATCTGGGGCATTCAGTTTTTCCCCATAAGCCTCGTCAGGCTCCTAAAAATCCCTTCACACAATCTACAAAAAGAGTGTTCCCAATCTACTAATCAATAGAAAGTTTTAACTCTGTGTGATGAATCCACTCATTGCTAAGCAGTTTCACAGATAACTTCTTTCTTGTTTTTATCTGAAAATATTCAGTTTTTCCTCATAGGTTTTGATGGGTTTTGAAAATTTCCTTCTCAGATTTTACAAAAAGAGTGTTTCCAACTTGCTTAATAAAAAGTAAAGTTTAACACTTTGAGATGGATCCACACATCACAAAGCAGTATCACACATAGCTTCTTTCTAGTTTTTATACGGGATAATCGTTTTTTCCCCATAGGCTTCAATGGAATCCCAAATATCCCTTTACAGAATCTACAAAAAGAGTGTTTCCAACCTGTTGAATCAAAATAAAGGTTTAACTCTGTGGGCTGAATCCACATATCACCAAGCAGTTTCACAGATAGCTTCTTTCTACTTTTTATCTGGGCCTATTCGGTTTTTCCCTGTAGGTTTCAATGGACTCCCAAATGACCCTTCACAGATTCTAAAAAAAGAATGTTTCCACGCTGCTGAGTAAAAAGAAGGATGTAATTCTGTGAGGTGAATCCACAAGTCACCCAGCAGTTTTACAGATAGCTTCCTTCTAGTTTTTATCTGGGGACATTTGGGTTTTTCCCATAGGTCTCAATGGGCTCCCAAATGCCATTTTGCAAATTCTACAAAAAAACTGTTTCCAATCTGCCGAATTCAAAGAAAAGTTTAACTCTCTAAGATTAATCCACACACCAAAAAGCAGTTTCACTAATAGCTTCATTATAGCTTTTATCTGGGAATATTCAGTTTTTTTCCATTGGACACAATGAACTCCCAAATGTACCTTCACAGATTCTACAAAAAGAGTGTTCCAACCTGCTAAATCAAAAGAAAGATTTAACTCTGTGAGATGTATCCACACATCACCAAGTAGTTTCACAGATTTCTCCCTTCTAGTTTTTACCTGGGGATATTTGGTTTTTCCCCATGGGTCAAAATGGCCTCCCAAATGTCTCCTCACAGATTCTACAAAACGAGTGTTTCCAACCTGCTGAAACAAAAGGAAGGATTAACTCTGTGAGAGGAATGCACACGCCACAAAGGAGCTTCACATATAGTTTCTTTCTACTTTTATCTGAGGATATTCATTTTTTCCCGACAGGCCTTGACAAGCTCTGAAATGTCTCTTTGCAGATTCTACAAAAAGAGTGTTTCCAACCTGCTGAATCAAAAGAAAGTTTTAACTCTGTCAGATGAATCCACACATCACCAGGCAGTTTCACAGATGGCTCCTTTCTAGTTTTTATCCGAGGATATTCTGTTTTACCCCATAGGACTCAAAGGGCTCCCAAATGTCCCTTTGCAGATTCTACAAAAAGAGTGGTTCCAATGTGCTGAATCAAAAGAAAAGTTTAACACTGTGAGATGATTCCACACATCACAAATCAGTTTCCCAGATAACTTCTTTCTAGTTTTTATCTGAGGATATTTTGTTTTTCCCCATAGGCCTCAATGGACTCCCAAATGTCCATTGGCAGATTCTACAAAATGAGTGTTTCCAACCTGTTGAATCAAAAGAAAGGTTTAATTCTGTGAGATGAATCCACACATCACAAAGCAGTTTCACAGATAGCTTCTTTCTAGTTTTTATCTGGAGATATTTGGTTTTTCCCCATAGGCCTCAAAGGGGTTTGATTTTCCCTTCACAGATTCTACAAAACGAGTCTTTCCAACCTGGTGAAACAAAAGAAAGGTTTAACTTTATGAGATGAATCCACACACAACAAAGCAGTTTCACAGATAGCTTCTTTCTAGTTTCTATCTGATGATATTTGTTTTAACCCCAGGCCTCAATGGGCCTTCAAATGTCCCTTTGCAGATTCTACAAAAAGACTGTTTCCAGCTGTTGAATCAAAAGAAAGGTTTAATTCTGTGAGATGAATCCACACATCACAAGTAGTTTCACTGATCCCTTATTTGAAGTTTTTTTTTCTGCGGATATTCTGTTTTTCCCTATAGGCCTCAATGGGCTCCAAAATGTCCCTTCACAGATTATATATATATATATATATATATATATATATATATATATATATATATATATATATATATAAAAGTGTCTCCAAACTGCTGAATCAAAAGAAAAGTTAACTCTGTGAAATGAATCCACACATGACCAGGCCATTTCACAGATAGCTTCTTACTTGTTTTTTTCTAGGGATATTTGGTTTTTCCACATAGTCCTCAATGGGTTCCAAAATGTTCCTTCATATATTCTGCAAAAAGCGTGTCTCCAACCTGCTGAATGAAAAGAAAGATTTAACACTGCGAGATGAATCTGCACATCACCAAGCAGTTTCACAGCTTCTTTCTAGTTTTCATCTGTGGATATTTGTTTTTTCTTGTAGACCTCATTGGGATCCCAAAAGTTTCTTCACAGATTTGACAAAAAGAGAGTTTCCAACCTGCTGAATCAAAGGAAATGTTTAAATCTGTGAGATGAATACACACATCAACAAGCACTTTCACAGAGGCTTCTTTCCAGTTTCTATCTGGGGAAATTCACTCTCTCCCCATAGACATCAATGGCCTCCCAAACATCCCTTTGCAGATCTTACAAAAAGAGTGTTTCCAACCTGCTGAATCAAAAGAAACATTTAACTCTGTGAGATGAGTCCACACATCACCAAGGAGTTTCACAGATAGCTTCTTTCTAGCTTTTATCTGGGGATATTCACTTTTTCCACATAGGATTCAACAGGCTCCCAAACGTCCCTTTGCAAGTTCTATAAAAAGAGTGTTTCCAACCTGCTGAATCAAAAGAAAGGCTTAACCCTTGAGGTTAATCCACACATTACAAAGCAGTTTCACAGATAGCTTTTTTCTAGTTTTTATTTTGGGATATTGTGTTTTTCCCATAGACCACAAAGGGCTCCCAAATGTCCTTCCACAAATACTACAAAAACTGTTTTTCCAACCTGCTGAATTAAAAGAAATCTTTAAATCTGTGAGATTAATCGACACATCACAAAACAGTTTCACAGACAGTTTTGTTCTAGTTTTTATTTGTGTATATTCAGATTTTCCCCAAAGGCCTCAATGGGCTCCCACATGTAAATTCGCAGATTCTACAAAATGAGTGTTTCCAACCTGTTGAATCAAAAGAAAGGTTTAATTCTGTGAGATGAATCCACATATCACAAAGCAGTTTCACACATAGCCACTTTCTAGTTTTTTCTAGGGATACTCTGTTTCTACCCATAGGTTTCAAAGGGCTTTCAAATGTCCATTTGCAGATTCTAGAAAAACAGTGTCTTCAATCAGCTGAATCAAAAGAAAGGTTTAACTCTGTAAGATGAATCCACACATCTGGCATTATATGTGAATGCTTATTATTTCAGAAATGCAGATTTGTTTATATGGTTGGAGTTTCTAAGTCCTCTGCACTATCCATTAGTGCTGTCTGTCTGGATGTGTTTCCTGATCTTTGTGTGAGGAAGTTGCCCCTGTTCAACATGACTCAAAAAGAAAATAATAGACTCATTGGAGTTTTGTCATGATGTGCCAGGGGCATCATGAATGATGTCTCCCACGAAGAATGACAGCAGCTGCCAAAGGATGCAGTAGGCAGGCACTGGCCCGATTACAGAGCAGTGAGTCAGTTTCAGGAGGCTGTGTGGAAATACAACTGATTCCTGAGGCAGTGAGGAAGGGGGAAGAGCCGGAAGAAGTTACAGGGAGAAGCAGAGGATGCTGCCTTCATTGGAGGATGCTTCGGTCCTGAGCAAAGTGGAGAAGAACTAAAGGCCATAGCACTCCCTTTGGTGAATGGTTGAATGGTTTGGAAAGGGGAAAGAGTGAAAGGGGAATGACAGTGTTACATGGGACACATTAGAAGGCAGCTGAGAAAGATGAAGAAAATTCCTCAGATTAGGGAGCCACAGAACTGGCTTCTAGCACTGGAACTCTCTCTCACTGTGTGACTTAGACAAATTATCTCCACTTTTCTTGTGGATCTTGTGTAAAATAAAATGGTCTGATGTCTTCTAAAGGTCCTTCCAACCAGAAAATGATCTGAGCAAAACAGTCTTATATGACACTGCTTCTGAGTCTATAAACACACACATTTAACTCAGACTATTTCAACTGCATGCCTGGCAAAAAGAGAAGGAGTAGGTGGAGTGGAAGGGAGAAGAGAGAGAGCCCAAGACCAAGACAGAATAAACCCATAAATGAAGCAATGATGATAATGCTGGCCCATCTTCACATCTATGAAGTGACTTAGCCAGAGTGACTTAGAAGACACTTGATTCTTCACCCCTCACATTTCATCTCAGCACCTACTGTATGAGCATCTCACCCTCTTGAAAAACACTGGTGTTTAAACATATTACTCTTATGATGAAGGAAGAAAACCTGTTTGGGTTGGGTTTAGAGAAAAATGGCACATTGAACTTTTATGTAGTGTCTTCCTAAATAATCTTCAATGACAATTCATAATATATGTGATTTTTTTCTTACCTCATGTGCTGACTCCAGAATTGTAGAATGCTACACCTACTTCCTTTTACTGTTCTGGGAATCGCAGTTGTAACTTAGGGAGTGTATTAAAGAGATCCACTAAGCCATGAAGACCTGGATGAGATCATAGTCATCATTCTTAGAGTATCTGTCTAAAAGTGATGACAGTAACAAAAATAACTAATTTGTGTCAAGGGTCTTTGTGCCATGTACCGTGTGGAACATTTTATACATATTCTCAGGTTTTCCACAACGATCTCATGGTTCGCTCAACAACTAACTTACTTTATTGCCCACTTACTACATGACAGAAAGTCTTCTCAGCTCCAGGGAGATAGTAGCAAACAAAATGAAATAAAGTTTCTGTTCTTATGATGTTGAATTCTGATGAGAGAGAGATGATAAACAAATAAATATATACAGCATCAAGTGATGAGAAGCCGTATGGAGAAAAATGAAGCAGGATAAGGATAGAGAATGTCAAAGGGAGGCTTACATCTGTAATCCCAGCACTTTGGGAGGTTGAGGCAGGAGGATCACATGAACCCAGGAGTTCAAAACCAGCCTGGGCAACATAGTGAGACCCCGTCTCTACAAAAAACTTTAAAAAATTAGCTGGATGTGGTAGCATACACCTATAGTCCCACCTACTTAGGAGGCTGCCTTGGGAAGATTGCTTGAGCCAGAGAGGTTGTGGCTGTAGTGAAATGTAATCACACCACTGGACTCCAGCCCGGGTGGCAGAGCTAACCTGTCTCAAAAATGTTTATATATATAAACATAAAAATATGATATATATAACTATATAAAAAAGACAGAGGATGCCAGAAGGAAAGGTGGGTGCAATTTAAATAGGGTGGACAGAGATGTCTCTCTGGTAAGGGTGAGCAAGCAAGGGAATGAGTCCTATGCCCAGGCCAAGAAAGCACTGGGATTGCCCTGTCTGCACATGGGGAAACCAAGCTTCCAAAGCCTCTTATTTAATAAAAGATGATGATCTCACTACATCTCAACACAGCCTCTGCTTCACATATAACCAGATACAGGTCAGAAGAGGGCTGTGACTATACGAGATTAGCAAGTCCAGTGGAAACACGAAACTCCACACGTCTCCTAGCACATCATTGCTTTGTCTGTGTAAAGCTTGATCTGGTTGATTTCTTCCTATTACATTGAAATAACAGAATGGAAAGTTGCATTGGTGTTACATAGAAAATTTATAAGTTTTCCTGATTGTTTTCTCCCTTTTACTCAATCCAGGAATAAAGAGTCAATGCAGCATGGATTCAGACATGCTCACAGAGGGTCAGGGGACTCCTCAAAGAGGTTGCAGGGACTTCTTTGTCAGGTGACAGAGATGTTCAGTGGTCAGAGCTCCAGGTTGACAACCCCTGCTTTAACCAGAGCATCAGTGACTCTGTATTATACACTGTGGCTCTGAAAATGAGATTTCTGGGACCCGCACAAAGCTTGAAAATAGTGTGCATGCGATGGCTCCTTGTGAAGAGGAAATAAAGATGTTCTTTGAGTCATCTTAAAAAACTGGCTTTAAAGTCAGGAAACAACAGGTGCTGGAGAGGATGTGGAGAAATAGGAACACTTTTACACTGTTGGTGGGACTGTAAACTAGTTCAACCATTGTGGAAGTCAGTGTGGCGATTCCTCAGGGATCTAGAACTAGAAATACCATTTGACCCAGCCATCCCATTACTGGGTATATAACCAAAGGACTATAAATCATGCTGCTATAAAGACACATGCACACGTATGTTTATTGCGGCACTATTCACAATAGCAAAGACTTGGAACCAACCCAAATGTCCAACAATGATAGACTGGATTAAGAAAATGTGGCACATATACACCATGGAATACTATGCAGCCATAAAAAATGATGAGTTCTTGTCCTTTGTAGGGACATGGATGAAATTGGAAATCATCATTCTCAGTAAACTATCGCAAGAACAAAAAACCAAACACCGCATATTCTCACTCATAGGTGGGAATTGAACAATGAGATCACATGGACACAGGAAGGGGAAAATCACACTCTGGGGACTGTGGTGGGGTGGAGGGAGGGGGGGAGGGATAGCATTGGGAGATATACCTAATGCTAGATGACGAGTTAGTGGGTGCAGCGCACCAGCATGGCACATGTATACATATGTAACTAACCTGCACAATGTGCACATATACCCTAAAACTTAAAGTATAACAAAAAAAAAAAACTGGCTTTAAATGTAAAATTTCCTTAAAAGTTTCCAGTGGAATAAAAATCATAGGTGGTAGCTTGTATGTTTTCAAAAATAAATGTTTTTTTATGTGTTTCTTGGCTGCATAAATGTCTTCTTTTGAGAAGTGTCTATTCATATCCTTTGCCCACTTTTTGATGGGGTTGTTTGTTTTTTTCTTGTAAATTTATCTGAGTTCATTGTAGATCCTGGATATTAGCCCTTTGTCAGATGAGTAGGTTGCAAAAACTTTCTCCCATTCTGTAGGTTGCCTGTTCACTCTGATGCTATTTTCTTTTGCTGTGCAGAAGCTCTTTAGTTTAATTAGATCCCATTTGTCAATTTTGGCTTTTGTTGCCATTGCTTTTGGTGTTTTAGACATGAAGTCCTTTCCCATGCCTATGTCCTGAATGGTATTGCCTAGGTTTTCTTCTAGGGTTTTTATGGCTTTAGGTCTAACATGTAAGCCTTTAATCCATCTTGAATTAATTTTTTATAGTGGCACTATTCACAACAGCAAAGACTTGGAACCAACCCAAATGTCCAACAACAATAGACTGGATTAAGAAAATGTGGCACATATACACCATGGAATACTACACAGCCATAAAACATGATGAGTTCATGTCCTTTGTAGGGACATGGATGAAACTGGAAACCATCATTCCCAGCAAACTCTCGCAAGGACAAAATACCAAACACCGCATGTTCTCAGTCATAGGTGGGAATTGAACAATGAGAACACATGGACACAGGAAGGGGAACATCACACACTGGGGACTGTTGTGGGGTTGGGGGAGAGGGGAGGGATACCATTAGGAGATATACCTAATGCTAAATGACGAGTTAAAGGGTGCAGCACACCAACATGGCACATGTATACATATGTAACAAACCTGCACGTTGTGCACATGTACCCTAAAACTTAAAGTATAATAATAATAAACTAAATAAATAAATAAATAATTAATTAAAAATAAATTATGGTACAATGGAATGTTCACCCAGACAAATTAATTATTCATTCCCTTACCCTAATTCAACAGTATTCCATACACAGCACTTATCACAGTGCTTACTCATATTTATATGTTTGTCTGAGTTTCCCTGAAAACTAGGGATTCATAAATAAATAAATAAATAAATAAATAAATAAATAAATAAATAAATGTTGTATGCAGGTATGGTATTGGGTGAGAAAGGATTTTAGGCAATTCTAATCAAAGATTTGAAGAAACAATTAAAGATCACTGCCTGACTATGCTTTTCTCTCTCATCTTTTCTGATGGATGTAATGGATATGACAGGCTCTATTTAAATACACAAACATGGGTACTTATCTATAGACTAGAGCTTTATGGGTTTTTTTTAAGGTCAGTTCTTTTTTAAATATAAACATTGAATGAGGAGGGACTTCTTCAACTCCAAACATTTCAGGAAACGTCTAATTTTCATACTGATTAAATTAGAAGTCTTACCCATTATGTGAATAAATAAAAGGAAGAACTGTAAAGAGGCATTGAAAGCCAGAGTTTCTTGTCCAATGAAGTTAATAAGAAAATAATTTCCTCATAATTTCACTGTTTGTTGCAGTTTGGTTTAAAAAAAATGGTGAATATTCAGGGCATATAGATAGATGTTGTTGGCTGTGGTGGTTATGTGTGTGTGTGTGTGTGTGTGTGTGTGTGTGTGCGTGCGTGTGTGTGCGTGTGTGTGTGTGTGTATATATGTTCAAGGGTTTGCTGAGAAAAAAAGGCCTGTCTCCCCTTTTTTCCCCCTAAAGGACCATTAAAGCAGGGAACAGCAATTATTCTCCAGTTTGCATTTGCTCTTTTCTCCTTTGAGTGATAGCCCCTCACTGCTTTTTGGCAGGTCACATGGCTGCCTATTAGAAATATTAGAAATGCTTCCCAGGAGCTAAGCGATGCTTTGTGACTAAGCTCTCACCAATGGAGCAAGAGTGGAAGTGACAGGCAGACCTGCTGAGCCACCTCCTTAAATACAATTTGTTTCCTCTTTACTTTCTCTCTTTCCTCCTCACCATGAACAGGAACTTGGATACATAGTGTGAACCATTCTTACCTAGGTAGGTGAGAAACACACTGGAGGGTGACAGAGCACCATGGGAGAAGGAAGAAGGAAGAAGTATCCACCCATGGATGCTCGGGTAATTTAGTGGAGAGGAGCTACCTACAGCATGCATCACATGCCTAACGGATCTGAGGAAAAATTAGAAGTTGACCTGGACCCAGAATACTGAATTTTTGAATCCCATTCTTTACCAGCCATCTATTATCCTTTTAGGTGCACAAGAAAATTGTATATGTAAATGAGGATTTAGTTTCAAACTCTAGTTCTCTGCTCCACTGGATCACGCAGAGCAAATGTTGCAAACCTGGTCACCAACAGGGGCTGGGCAGGTAAGTGCAAAGAAGCAAAACTTACTGAGTAGAGCTTGGTGTAGTGGAGAATGTGTGATCCACCTAAAGGACTGTTGTTCTGGGACATGGGCCTCAGCATTTCTTGATATTTTTACCTGTTTAAAAGAAAATAGAAATCCAGATTTTTTAAAAGTAGAATCCACAGACTTTTTAATTAACAAGCTAAGTTTCACAACATTTTAAAGTAAAAATACTATGCACACTGTGATACTTAATTTTATATGTCAACTTCTCTGGCCCCCAGGGGGCCAAATACCTGGTTAAAATATCTGGGAGTGTCTGTGATGGTGTTTCTGGAAGAGATAGCATTTGAACTGGTGGACTAATAAAGCAGATGGCCATCTCTAATGTTGAGTGTGCATCATCTAACCCTTTGAGGGCCTGAATAGAGCAAGAATGTAGAAGTTTGAATTAACTCCGCCTAACTTCCTGAATTGTGACATTTATCTTCTCCTGCCTTCGATACTCCTAGGTCTCAGCTGTTCAGCTCTAGACTGGAATTTACATCAGTGGCTTGCGTTTGGATCATAATCCTGAAAGACACAATTCCAAATGCCATAATCCTGAATGGTGAAATTCCAAAAGATCAAAATTCCAAAAGTTTAAATCCTGAAAGATCAAAATTCCCAATGTCTAAAATTGTGAAATTCACAATCCCAAAAGATTAAAATCCCAAATGTTGAAATCCTGAAAGCCAAATTCTGGGAAGCTGTATGCAGGATAGTTACATCATGTAGGCAAAATTATTATCTTCTTATTGTCTTTATTTGCATTTGGTGGAAAAGTCAAATGAGTGGATTAGCCACAGCATACAGCAACAAATAAAACTTCAGTTTAAAAATGCATCATTTACCTTCCTACTAATGACATTTCAGGAGGTTTTAATGAATTAAAGCTGAATTTGCTTGAAGAAGCCAGTAAAGCTTACTGACTGGTTCAAAAATTATTATGTGCACAGTAGGATAAGAAGATGTAATGTTCACAATGGCATTGCTGTTCGATCACCAGCACTGTTTCTGCCAAACTTGTGTTCTGTCTATGAGGGCACGTGAAATGGATTTCTGTGAACCCTAAACAACGTAGAAGCATGGCACAGAAGGTAGAAAGCTTTAATAGGAAATGCTCATATCAGTATACATAGAATCATGGAAGAATTTTGAAAAGAGCAGTGCCACATAGGAAATGAACGTAAACATATTATCTGAAGAGAGCCATGCCCTAAAAGAAAAAAGCAGATATTCATTGTGATGAAAGACTTCAAAATATAGTTAATGACCATGAAAGTCCGCCAGTTCTTAGGGATTGTCTCTGTGCAATTGCCCACAATCTGTCCTTGTAATAATACACTTTTTCATATGTCAAATTTTAGTTTTAGTTTTCTTTCTTAGTATATTTTTTACTATTTTAAATTGTACTATTTTTACAACTTACTATGCATTTCATCTTTGTATCATTTTCAATACTGGAGGTGTAAATGGTGTAGAAACTTTTAGACAGTTCTGATACTTTTTATGCGTTTTCAAATTTGATTCCATGAAGTACATTATCACAATGTGGACTGTGTTTAAACATTATGCATATACATAAAAATACTGAAACTTCTTCAATAAATAAAGAGATATCTTTTCTGTACATCTACATTGTGAAAGATAGAATTTCTCAAGATCTTAGCTCTTTGGGGTATGGTGTAAATGATGGTTTTGATTGGTCCCATCAAAAGACTTAGGTGGTTGGTCATGGTATTTCAGATGACCTCAGTTATAAAGCTAGGTGCACACAATTACCAACCATAGTGATATGTGTTTATACATTTCCCTTTTTGACCTCTTTATGAATACAGTACATCTGCTCATAACTGTTATACCCATGTGACTGTTGTTAGCATATCTCAGTGTTTATACTTGCAAACATATGCATATTATTGCTTATTTTATCACATAAAGTGGCCTATGAAGTATTCATTCATGTTTTTATGTTTCTTAGATAAATCCTCCTTTAAAAATGTAAATAAATATTTTAGATAATTTTAATTTTCTCCAGAAGTACATTTTGGGGATTTTGATCTCTTGGGATTTCAACATTCAGGATTCTAGTGATGGGGCTTGTGCCTTTCGGGATTATGATTGGCTCCCCATTGGCTCTCTTGCTCTCAGGCCTTGGAAGTACATCAAAAGCTTGCCTGGGTCTCCAGTTTTCAGGTGGCAGAATGTGGGGCTTCTCTGCCTCCATAATTGCATGAGCCAATGATTTATAATAATCTCTTTTATCTACCTTTCTATCATTCAATCCATCAATCATGTATCTATCCATCTCCTATTGATTCTGTTTCTCTGGGCAATCCTGACTAATATATGCACCAACAAAAATATTTCTGCATGGTAAGGCCCTAAGGCCTAAGAGAAATTTCCTGTTGCTTGAGCTAAAAATTAATCTAGGATCTATTACCAAAGCTATGTGGTTGGCGGACATTTTGAGTCACTCTGTGAAGTCTCACAACAAAATCCTGGATATCTAATCTGTTAGTAAGATAAATCTGTTTTAGGCCAAATGTATATAGGGAGCAAAAAGATTCAAGTCCAAATGAAAGAGAGAAAATTAGCCTAATGTCTTGAGCAGATATAGTATGGACATTTGATCAAACCTTTCTTGGCCAAGCCAGTAGTTCTGGAGACTATTTTCCTAGCCATTGGAATTAGTTAGGTTTTCCTGGTTCAAACAAAATAACTTGCTAACAAGCAAAGTGAACAATTTATTGGAATGCCACAAACATCTGGGAATTTGGGCAGAGCAGCAACCAATGAAACTTTTAGAATCTTGTCTTCTTGTCTTTTTTTGCCAATGAGAAGACTCAGCATCTAGTACCTTTGACCTTGTCTTTACATCTTAGCTGGAGCTCCATACCCACAACTAATAGCTGCTAAATGTCTCGAATCATGTCTGAATAAGGGACCAGGTAACTATGCCATAGTACACATAGTCAATGGACTGGGATGAAACCATCAGAAAGGATGTGGTAGATCTGTTTGCTACTTGCGGAAGTGGGGCACCAAGGTTATCAGCCACACAGAGTGGGAAAGGGAAGTTCCACAAACAAAAACCACAGTGCTCCTTCTAAAAGAAGGGGAAATTATTCTTGGTTAGGCCAAAACAATAGATATTCATCATCATAACAGTTTCCATGGGAGGGTTCCCTTCTGGCATTTCTTGGGAAAATTGTATATTTTTTTCTGAGTCCCATATCCTGAGAAAAATGGGTTTTAGAAATCAGAAAAATGGAGAGGGGGAAGTATTGCAATTCTCTTGTGAGAATAAAAGATTAACATTCAACTTAGAGACATTACTTCTGAAAGGAATGCAGTAACGTCAAGAAGAAAGCAAGAGCAGGAAAAGCTGACATGCAGAGTTGAAGGTCGAAGTCAACATTTCAAGTAACTGGGAAAGGGGCAAGAAGAGGAGAAACAATCACTGTCTCACCACTTTTGCTCATAGCTGTAGCCATGTAATAAATGCACGTTCATGATGCTGTCTGTCACTAATGGTAAATTTTTACAATTAAAGTGAATGTTAAGGTTCTTCACATGTTATCCTTTATCCTCTCTACTAAACCTATGGGTGGTGTTCCAAGAAATAAAAAGTTTTGAAAACAAAATAAGTTATTCAATTGATCTCTACACATGGTTCTGTGTAGAGCTGTTAATCTTAAAAGATTAGAATGTTACATCATTTAAAAGCCACTCAATAATATTCAACTTTTCTAGTACTTATATATTCAATCTAGACTACATTCTTTGTAAATAGTCTTACTAAACCAATGTATCTTACCTATTGAACAATTTTTTGATCTTCCTAATGAACTAGTACATGAGGAATATGGGAAGTATTTTAATCACAATTTATGATTTAGGGTATTCTGGAGAATTTTGATCTTATTTCCAAATCCCTAATATTAGTATCTGTCTGGAGTTTGGAAACTACACCAGCCACAGGGATGAGAGAGTGTTCAAAGAAAAAGCAAGAGAGGGAAACAAGGAGAAGGAAAGCTGGCTGAGTCTTCTTAAAAGGGAGAGCTGAGGCAGGTTTTACACTGTCATCCCTGAGAAGCAGAGAGAGACCCTTATGAAGGAAAACCAAGGGAGACACAGAGCAGGCGACTCTATTATGGAGATGTGAGAGAGGCACAGGGACAGCGCGTGCACGCGCACGTGTGTGTGTGTGTGAGAGAGAGAGAGAGAGAGAGAGAGAGGGGGTGGGGAGACAGAGAGAGACAGAGAGAGGCAGGTGATGGTAGGAGGAAAGGAAGAAAGCAGAAATAAGTTCTTTCTAAGGGGCTAAGGAAAACCATTAGAAATTCAACTTGTTTAAGTATTTAAGATTAGATAATTGTCTAAATGTGGCTGTGAGAGCTCAGTCTGGGCTGACCAGGCAAGGACCAGGTGGACCCGAGGAGGACCTCTCAACCCTCATTGGGAGGGGATGCACCTGCATATGGTTTCTAATGGAGTTGGGGTATCCCTTCTGTCAAGGAGTAACTGTAAGTCCCATTTGGCCTCAAGGTCTCCAGAACCTTGAGGTGGACCAGCTGGTGTTCCCAGACAATTGCTACAAATGGTGGGAATATATTATAGAATTTGTCCCCCAAACTCCACTGGCGATCCAAAAGGACTCACCTACAAGGACAAAGACCAGCTGACAGTGTTTAGAAAGAGATCTGTTTTATGAATGACTTGAATGACAATACAGAAGACATGCTTAACACTAACTGTACAAGTATAAGAAGTGAAGAGACTTCAAGGTTTAGACTGAGGGGAGACTCAGTGTGAATAATTAATAGGCAGGGCTGCAAAAAATCTAATGTGATCTGTGATGAACAAACAATAATATTTCTCGTGAGTATCAAATGAGATACTGCATGTGGTGTCAGGAATGCACTAAGTGCTCAAAAAGTGTTAACTACCACTAATGCTGTGGTTACTGTTTGCTATTGTTAACATGAGGGTGAAAAGAAGGGAGAAGAACGGTGACTGCTCCAGGGCCTGTGTCCTTGCTCTGCCCTCCTGTTTCCTCTCTTTTCTTTTCTTCTACACTCTCCCTTAACTCTACTTCAGCGTTGCTGGGGATGGCAAAAATGGAGTTAGGAAATGAGGGGAGATGGGAACTAGGATCAGTAGTCAACCTGAAATTCCTCATACCTAATAGGCCCATGTCAGGAGCTTTCTGTGGATCATGTGACTGAATCCTCACAACACCTCCAAAAGTTAGAAATTATGGCTTCCTCATTTTCCAAACAACAAACCAAGGCTCAAAAAGTGACTCTTCCAATGTTATAGAGCTAAGAGGAGGCAGAACTGGGATTTAAAGCTACATCCTTTCATTTTTCTTCATGGCTTTCTCTATGTGACTAGAGACCCATTGTAGCAGCTGCAATTTTCTGAGTCTGCAGCAGGGGTGGTGGGGTTTGGGGGTGGAAATGAGGGTGTGTGTGGAAGGGTTCTGGGGGATTCTGGATTGGGGTAGGAGAAGAAAGAGGATTCAACAAACATAAGTATGTCTATGTTGTATTTCCAACCAATTCAAAATGTCTGTTCCCCTAAGAGTGGCTCAACAATAGTATCTTTGCTTTTTAGTTCCAGAAAAATGGTTGGATTTTAGACTTCTAAATTTGCCCGCAGCCCCTGATGGGTTAGATGAAACACCTCCAATTTGAAGTGGCTGTACAAGGAAAATCGAGCTGTGAGAGTCATTGGCAAGTTTTTATTTTCCTTTCACCTCAAAGCTCTCATACTCAATTTGGATAAAAAAAATTACAGGATGAAAAAAAGCTCTCCCTTTGGAGATAAAAATAGCACATGCCACATCACTTCTAAGAGCAAGCTAGCAGCTGAAACAAATTATTTATATCGTATCCCTGGCCCTTTTCTAAGTTTGTTGGTCACCTTTCTGTTTAATTACTCTTGCCATTATGATTTAAAGCTCTCACATTTATGGCATTCATTTCAGTAGCACCTGCTTGCATGGATTTTTTTTTTTTCTCAGCTTTACAGTTTAGCCAAGTCACACCAAATAGCAGTTTTAGAAGTTCATTACCCACTTCTGAGCCCTTTACCCTGAAAACAATAGCTATAATTTTAGAAGAAAAAGATACTGACTAGTCAATGACTTTACTTATACTGCAAAATTTTCACAAATTATCTTGTTCTGTATTCAGCTACCAGTTCCCAAATCTATGTAGAAAAATGATCAAGTCTGGGGGGGGTCTATCTTTGTTTTCTCTTTTCTTCTCTCTTAGTTGAAAGTAAATAATAGTTTAGGGGGCATGGAGAAGAATATATATTTAAAATGTTATTTTTTTCATTTACAGAAACATTTTCTGGTACCCGGTGGACTTGGGATAGGCAGAAACCTTATTAACTAAAATTTGAGAACTCTTTAGTTTGGTAACTTTGGAGTGGTTCTTTGTTGTGGTTTGAATTCTAGGATGGGAGCAAAAGCTGTCAACAACCTTGGAGAATTACTGAACTTTTCCTGCATTTGTTCTTCACCAATATAAGAAATTGCTCTCTTCAGCATGGGGACTAGTGGAGCTTACTTTAAAAAAATAAGGACAGGGTGATATTTCTCTTCCTTTGAACTGAAGGGGTGGCCTGCCCCTACACACTTGTGGGTATTTCTAGTCAGGTGAGACAAGAGACTGAGAAAAGAAATAAGACACAGAGACAAAGTATATAGAAAGAACAGTGGGCCCAAGGGACCAGCACTCAGCACACCAAGGACCTGCACTGGCACTGGCCTCTGAGCTCCCTCAGTTTTTATTGATTATTATTTTCATTATTTCAGCAAAAATGAATGTAGTAGGAGAGCAGGGTGATAATAAGGAGAAGGTCAGCAAAAAACATGTGAGCAAAAGAATCTATGTCATAATTAAGTTCAAGGGAAGGTACTATGCCTGGATGTGCACGTAGGCCAGATTTATGTTTCTCTCCACCCAAACATCTCAGTGGAGTAAAGAATAGCAAGGCAGCATTGCCACAAACATGTCTCACCTCCCAACACAGGGTGGTTTTTCTCCTCTCAGAATTGAACAAATGTACAATTGGGTTTTATGCTGAGATATTCAGTTCCCAGGGGCAGGCAGGCGACAGTGGCCTTCCTCTATCTCAACTGCAAGAGGCTCCTCTTTTACTAAACTACCTCAGCACAGACCATTTATGGGTGTCGGGCTGGGGGGTGGTCAGGTCTTTCTCATCCCACAAGGCCATATTTCAGACTATCACATGGGGAGAAACCTTGGACAATACCCCGCTTTCAAGGGCAGGGGTCCCTGTGGCTTTCCGCAGTGCATTTTGCCCTTGGTTTATTGAGACTAGAGAATAGCGATGACTTTTACCAAGTATACTGCTTGTAAATATTTTGTTAACAAGGCACGTCCTGCACAGCCCTACATCCCTTAAACCTTGATTTTATACAACACATGTTTTTGTGAGCTCCAGGTTGGGTCAAAGTGGCTGGGGCAAAGTGGTTGGGGCAAAGCTACAAATTAACAACATCTCAGCAAAGCAATTGTTCAAAGTACAGGTCTTTATCCAAATGGATTTTCCTATGTCTTTCCTTTCTATATAGACACAGTAACAGTCTGATTTCTCTTTCTTTTCCCTACATGAACTATCTTATCCTTGGGAAGAAGAAATAATTTGTAAACAGAACTTTGTCCCCCTATCCATGGTGATTGAAATTTAATGATACTGAGGAGAAAACACACAAGCAGGGATGACAAAATATCGAAGGGGGATTTGGGAAAGGCCTGTTTCACACCATTCACACATTCAGATTAGAAGGCTAACAATTATTTATGAGGTGGTCAAGTCATGAATTATTAACTATAGAGTGATGGCTTTGCTAGTGATAGAATTTTCTTAGCACTTTGTTTATTTTAGCAAACATTAGCTTACCACACTACATTAAGAGTGAACATTTAAAAGAACTGTACCAAAATATTTTTGTCAGCGTGTTTGTCATTGACAATTTGAAAGGAAACAGAAAGCTTTGTCCTCGTGCAGTGAAAGCTCTCACTTGCAGCCTACACAAAGCCAGAGAGGTAGGGCCAGATTCGTATCTGCACTTGTGTGGGGCAGAATGGGGGTTGCTGATTGGCAGGGGCCCTAGCCCTGTGAGAACATAGTTATTAGGAACAAATCAGGGCAGAGAAACGCCTCACTTTTCTGGACTGTTCAAGTTCAAATTAACTTTGGGGAATGGAAAGCCAGTCTCACTGATTGGAGAGTGGAATCTTTCAGGCAGAGTGAGTCTCATGAGGTCAACCTGGCCAGCATCCTGCTTTTGGGCAGGATATACATAAAAGACACTGGAAAAGTGACCATCCTATGGCAGATATCCCTCAAAAAGGCATATTTAACTTTAATGAAATAACAGTTCAGGGCTGAACTTACATTGAAATTGACAAATGTAATTTTGAATCTCATTAAGGCTGTCAAATTTTTGAGTTAGACATAAAGTAAAAGAATGCTGCAATTCCCAACTTCCTGTTCATAAAGTAAAAACTAAAAATTGTAAATTTCTGATTTATATTTTACCTTTTTGATACAAAATGCAACGACCTAGCTCCATAACACACATTTTAAAATTTTGTTCCTTTCCTTCTTAATTGACCACCTAAGAGTAAAATTAATCCTTCTGGGGTTAAAAGTAGTTCGCATTAGGCATGCCTAATAACTTCTTTCAAACTTACGGTTTTCATTAATTTTCAACACACTTGATCATTAGAATCAGTACTCTTGCTTTCCAATTTGTACTCATTTAATAATAAAAGCATAAAAGCTAAATTCAATATGTTGGTTGTACAGTTTGAGGATCACATGCAAACAATAACGCCCTTTATTTAGAGAGTAGTTTACTTTTTTCAGAGCATTTAGACAGTCTTGCAAAAGGACTAGTTTCTCTGAGAATACACATTTGAAAGAATATCCATCTATCAAAGGACAAAATGAGGTTATTAAAATGGCTTTCTTAACTGCAATGATTGTGGCATCAGAAACTAGGGCTTGCATTTCTTTTATGAAAGTGGAGAAAATTAATTTTCTTTGAATGCTATGTTTGCCTGATTCAGGAACAGCTGCTCCATTTCCGACTTTTGAATCTTTTCTTTACAAGACTAAATAACCCGATGACAAGTTTTATACTTAAAAGTTAACAGGAGATAATTCCTTGTCTTTTTTTTTTTTTTTTTTTTTTTCACCACTCCTATTCAACATAGTGTTGGAAGTTCTGGCCAGGGCAATTAGGCAGGAGAAGGAAATAAAGGCTATTCAATTAGGAAAAGAGGAAGTCAAATTGTCCCTATTTGCACATGACATGATTGTGTATCTAGAAAACCCCATTGTCTCAGCCCAAAATCTCCTTAAGCTGATAAGCAACGTCAGCAAATTCTCAGGATACAAAATCAATGTACAAAAATCACAAGCATTCTTATACACCAATAACAGACAAACAGAGAGCCAAATCATGAGTCTTGTAAATTGTGGTACAACAGCAAAATAGGCTAAACACAACAGAAAAGCCTTGTGAAGAAATGTTCCATAATGGTCATGAATGTGGGCTCTGACATTGGGCAGACCTGAATTGTACCCTGGCACTGCCACCGACTAGCTATGAGACTTTGGGGCAAGCCACAACAACTTTGTACCTCAGTTTCTTTACCTGTAAAATGGGGGATAGCAGTACTTGTTCATAATTGCTGCATGAATTAAATAATAGGATGCATGAAAATATTTTACAATAGAGCCTGGCTTAAAAATATATTAATATTTTGTTGTAGTCACATATTAATAATTACTATTATTTTCCTTTTAGCAGTCATTATTCTTTTACTCATCCACTGCAAACCTTCATTTATTATTTTACAGGTAACCTGGCTACTTTCCAAATAATTTTAGTCAGTTTAAAAGAAAACCAGAGGTATAGTAAGACCCAAACCAATTAATATAAAAGACAAAAATCTGAAAGAGAAATGGAACAACTGTGATGAGAATTCCTGGTTGAAGAAAGACACAGCAATGAACACGCAACTTAGCTCTGAGATTCTTACCAACCAGGGCAAAGAGGGAAACACAAAGGATTCAACAATTGAGTAGATTGCCATCTAGATGAAAATATTCCAGTTTGTTTTAATTATCAATAGCAGCATAACAAGCTACCCAAAACTTGTGGTTTAAACTATAATGATTTATATTTTTTCAGGGTTCTGTGGGTTGGCTGAGTGATTGTTCTGCTGATCTTGCTCGGGGTCACACATGTGACTTAGGATCATATATGTAGTTGATGGATCACTGGAGGCTGGGATCAGCTGGGGATGTTTATCATGATATCTTATTTCATCTCCATGTGGTGAACTTGAACTTCCTAACAGCATGGCAGTCTCAAGTTAGCACTGCAAGAGGGAGAGTTCCAAAAGGACATTCCTTAATATACAAGTGCTTATCAAGTCTCTGCTCATTTGATGTGTCTCATGATGAAATCAAATCATATGACCAATTTCAGAGTAACCCAAAGTTGGAACGCCAGAAGTCATGGGTTATGGGGTCCACAGTCCACCACAGTTTCTTATGACAGGCTGAGTTAGAAATAATCTGGAACTCATTGGCCCCTATAACTACTTTTTTTAAAATTTTTTTGTTTTTTTTGAGCTGGAGTCTCGCACTGTTGCCCAAGCTGGAGTACAGTGCTGTGATTTTGGCTTACTGCAACTTCCGCTTCCCAGATTCAAGTAATTCTCCTGCCTCAGCCTCTTGAGTAGCTAGGATTACAAGCATGTGCCACCACGCCCAGCTACTTTTTGTATTTTTAGTAGAGATGGGGTTTCACCACGTTGGCCAGGCTGTTCTTGAACTCCTGACCTCAGGCGATCTGCCCGCCTCAGCCTCCCAAAGTGCTGAGATTACAAGTATGAGCCATCGCACCCAACCCCCTATAACCATTTTTAATATTTGCCTCATATAAACAGCTGTCTTCATGCTTTAAATGCTTTTAATTATTAAATCTTGCTTCTGTGTGTTACACTCTTCTTCCCTTTACCCCCTTTATAGTGAGACCATCAGTCTGTGTCTTATCAACCCCTATCAGCCAGAAACTACAAAAATTTTGTTAGCCTTCTACTTCCAGCAGCCCTGGAACAATTTTCTTTGCCCCTTTGCTGATGATCCCCCCACACCTTCTTTACCAAAATGAAGTTCAGCAATAGTCCTGTGCATGCTGTCGATGGATGCAAACACTTCAGCACATCTCCTTGAGCTATGATGAATCACCGTTCTTGTGTGAGTTAGACCAACTGAAGAAACATTCGAAGTACAGATTCCTGGGCCTATTATAGCCTTACAGAGAGATAATATGGGACATTCTATAAGCACAAATAAGGATTGCCCTCTGAATTATACTCTCTTGCCCTTCTTTTGCCTTCTGACATCATTTTTCTTTTAGCATTTTATGTATCCTTGGCCTACTTTACCTCTGAGTACATAAGTATGGGCAAGAGTGTGGGAGCTACAAGCAAACGGCCTTGGATACAATTCTTTCCATCTCTTTTGATCACGGTGTAACTTTGGATAAATCATGTTGCCTCTCTGAGCTTGCTTCATCATTGCTGAAGTGGAAATAATACTTCCTACCTCATATTATCTTCATAAAAACTAAATGTGACAATACAGGTAAAGTGTGGTGCCTCAAACATAGTAAGAATTCTATTATTGCTATGATTGTACTTTCTGTGGTGCATAAGAATAAAGCCAATGCAGAAGAAAGCAGAGTTCACAGGTAGGGAAGCTACCTAATCTCTGATGTCATTGTTTGAGCCTTTGGATCCAGTTGTGCCTGAAGCCTATTCTCGTTGAGCTTCTCAGTTACTAAGGTTACTAAGGTTTTTGGTTTAAGCCAGCTGGGGTTAGATATCTGTCACTTATAACGGAGAAGTTCTGGCATATGTAGGACCAAACCTATACTGTGTCAGTTTCAGCTGATGAATATGTTTTAAATGCAGATTCTTGATCCTACCATTAGATATTCTGATTTTGTTGGCTTGGAATGGGGCCCAGGAATACGTACTTTTGGGGTTCTCAAGATGACTCAGATGTCACCAGCCTACACATCCACTTTAGGAAACTATTGCCTTAAATTAGGAGTCTTTTTATTTGGCGGTCCTTCAGGGCTTTGTAAGGTACCTTGCAAATAAAAGGACCATTAGCCCATTACATATTTGTTGACTTGAACACACATTTTCAAGAATATGGGCAAAGAGACAGCCCAGATTCCTTTTCCTTTGAAGGTATTATTTTTAATAGACAAATAACAGTTATATATCTTTATGGGTTACAATGTGATGTTTCAATACATGCGTATGTTGTGGAATGATGAAAGTAGCCTAAGTAGCATATTCATCACCTCAAATATTTATTTTTTCTTTGTGGAGAACATTCAAAATTATTTTTTTCTTAGCTATTTGGAACTACGCAGTAATTATTCTTGACAGGAGGATTGCATGAAGTTGGCCAGACAGCCAAAAAGAATCAGATTATCTCCAGAAATTTCTATGTACCTTTGGGTATGACTGCATCTTGCGGTAGCTACCTTAAATTAATGTAGCACAGGTTTTAAATGCCATTTAGTTTTACCTTTCTAGTTTTAAAGTTTTGGTTATGACTCATTCATCCTATGACCTTGGACCTGTTTCCTGACATAATTGAATTCTGCACTTTATTGTTTGTTTCAAATTAAGACCTCTTTGCTACATATAAAGATTTCCTGTTAGGGTTGCCCTTTATGTAAATTTTATTACCACTGAATGATTGTTTAATAAAAATTTCAGTCACATTCCAAACACATCAAGGAGTTCCCAGGGACCAGTTTCATATACTCAGGATCCCGATAAATGCAGTGGGAACCCTCCTTATTAAAGACAGGCTGTAAAACATGCTATTGATGAAAGTATTAACAGCATATGCTATCAAAGTGGGAGAAAAATCAGAGTCCAGCTGGAGTAGAACTTTGCTTCATTTATTTGATGCTCACTTGGGTGATTTCATGCTCTTGGCCCCACAAATATTACAATTGCTCCCTCTGAAGGCCTATCTGGATGTATTTTTAAGGGTTATAGACTGAAGCTGAGAATGTGACCACAGAGATTTATTCTAAAGACTTTCTGTGGAAACCACTCATCATCTGCACTGAGAGAGAGGCAGTTTGGATATGAGTTTGGAAAGATTGTTTTTAAAAGCAGCAATACATTTGGTTTGAATTACAAAGCTGAAGGAGGCCAAATATAACTAAATTAGAAAAACTGGAATTAAATTGGAACCTAGAAATTCATAAGCCAGAGGAATATAACCAACATATCTACTCACATATTAGGTCTCCCTCTGATTAGATGATGCACAATAGTGTACAAGGGTGGGAGGTGCCATCCCATTTTAAACATCATGATAAAACCTGTAGCCCCACCTTTTTATGCGGAACACAAGCAACTATAACATCAGAGCCGTGTAGAAGCATGTCTCTGATGTAGAAGCCGTGTAGAAGCATGTCTCTTCTAGTAGAAGACATGCTAAGAATCTCCAGCAGGGAGAAAAATATCCCATTCCTCCTGATAAACTGACATTGATAAAATGATATTTTCAGATGGATGAAAACTTTGGCATTATATAGCCCATATTTCTTAGACTTGATTTCATGGATCTATTGTGGGGAGGGGTAGTCAGGGGTTGAGGTTTATCCCATCATTGGAAATCATGAATTATGTAAATAAGATGGCATGTTTATGTGTATATGAGATTTTATTGTGCAGAATTATCCGAGAAAGATAAAGAATCATCTGTTTTCTCCCACGGACTCATTTTACAGATGGAAGTACTAAGGACCAGGCTGACATCCACAGTGTCCCACAGCAAGTAACTGACAGGACTGGCTCTAAATCTTTGAATTATGGCTAATAGATGGGAGCCTGCTTGAGGCAGAGGGTCAGGGGATATAAATTGAAAACCCTGGCATGAAATTAACCTGCAGTTCAGTTTTGTTTGATCTGCATAGTTTTTTATCCATTAGGAAAAGTCACACAAATATCCAAATTCTTCTGAAAAATTGCAAGATTTAGCAACACGGATCCCACATTTCCTTGGCATGTGCTCACCAGTTTGATCTAGTCCCTCCCACTTTCTGCTATCATGTGCTCAGCTGCTTTCCTTAGTTACCTGCCTTGCCTGATCCCTGTAACACTTGAGTTTATGATTCTGAGTGTAGAGAGTTCTAACACCTGCTGGGTCTCTTGGGAGGTTTACAAAGCTCCTTTGGGTCTGGTTCTGTGTCAGTCAGTGTAGGCTAGTTTTGTTTGTAGTTTATATTAAAAATACCCTTGATATTGTCTGGCTGTGTCCCCACCCAAATCTCATCTTGAATTGTAATCCCCACATGTTGAGGGAGGGAACTGTAATCCCCACGTCGTGGGAGGGGGTTGATTGGATCATGGGGTCAGTTTCCCCCACGCTGTTCTCATGATAATGAGTTCTCATGAGATCTGATAGCTTTATAAGGCAATTTTCCCTGCTCTTGCTGGCTCTTCTCTTTCCTGCCACCATGTGAAGAAGGTCCTTGCTTCCCCTTCACCTTCTGCCACGACTGTTAGTTTCCTGAGGCCTCCCCAGCCATGTGGAACTCTGAGTCAATTAAACCTCTTTCCTTTATAAATTACCCAGTCTCAGGTGTCTCTTTATAGCAGTGTGAGAACAGACGGATACAGTCCCCAAATTACAATGGCTTTAAATAACAGACATTTAATTATTGCTCATGAAACATACCCATCAGGATTGCTGTGATAGTCATTTAGGTATCCAGACTGATGGAGCAGCTGCCATCTCAAATGCTGTGGGCAAGAGCTCTGGATGGTGTCAAATTGGCAATTAAATGGTTGAGACCAAAAGTGACACGTTGCATGTGCTCATAGCTCATTGGTCACTAACACTCACATGGCCTCATCCAACCTTAAGGGCTTGGAGGTGTGATCCTATTGTGTGTGCAGAAGGCAGAGGCTGATGAATACTTAGTGAGCACTACTGATTCCTTTTGTCAGCCTTGTGGAAACTGAGTGGTGGGATGTAATTCCTGCATATGTGAGATTGCCTTGGGTCACCTGTGAACACCTTATCTATGATAAAAAAGCACTCTGTGTCTGAGGAACATGGAAGCAGCAAAGTCCATGTGAAGTTCAGGATGTTCTGTGGATATAGAAGCCTGCCATCTGGCCTGAATTCGAGTCCCAGATTTCTGTGTGGTACTGGGAAAATGCTCTGTATATTTGAGTCTCAGTTCTCTCATCTATAACTTAGCATACTAATATCATCTGTCTTTATTAGCATAGCAGCCTAAACTGACTAAGTACTCTAAGTTATAGATGACAGAAATTTCTCACAGCTGTGGAGGCTGGAAGCCTGTGATCAGGGTACCAGCATGATTGAGTTCTAGCGAGGGCCCTCTTCCGGGTTACAGACTGCCAACTTCTCATTGTATTCCTCTATTTCAGAAAAAGGGTCAAAAATCTCCCTGGGGTCTCTTTTATGAGGGAACTCATCTCAGTCATGAAGTTCCCACCCTCATGACCTCATCACCTCCCAAAGGCTCCATCTCCTAATACCATCTCATGGAGATTAGAGTCTCAACATATGAATTTGGAGGAGACAAGGACATTCAGTCAATTGCACCATCTTCTGAGTTTTTATAGATAATTACATTAAACAAATTCAGAGAGTAGGTATGAAGCCCAATATTGTATCTCTATCAGTAGTAGTTGCGATTTTTGAGGGTGCTACATTGTAGTGGCTATAAAATGGGTTCACATGTAGCTATAAGACTTTGGGAAAGTCATCAAACTTCTCTGTGCCTTAATTTACTGACCTTAAAAATGAACAGTACTATGCCTGTGCCTTAAAATCATTATGATGATTCAATGAGGTTTTGTATGAAAAGCATTTTACAAAAATTAAGCACTTGATATATATAGCATACTAGTATTTTAAAAATATCATGTGGATTAGTATGCAGATACACAAATTCTTTCATTTCTTTTTAAAAAAACTCAAAAATACCACTAACAATTCTAGACCAAAGAGGTCTAAAAAGCTCTCTAGGGTCCCTTTTATAAAGATACTAATCCCAGTGATCTCATTAGTCTCATCTACTCTGCTAACCAACATTACTATCATTTTATTGGAGCATGTTTCTGTCTGAAAATGTTTTTACTTTATAACCTTCTTAGGTATAAGACTCTCTGTTGTCCAGACTACAGGACTTCCTGGTGTTTTCTAATGAGGATGAACTCTATTCTGAGAATTTGGCAGCTCTGCTTGTCTTTGTCCCACGTGGTACATTTGTGCAGCAGTCAGAAATTTATAACACAGTTCAGGGAGCTGCTGCCAGTACTCATCAGTGCCAAGCTGCTTAGGCAAAAATGTGGGGAACATTTTGTCTTATCTATTCAACTCCTTCCCTAAGAACCCAATGAACAAACTGACCCTAGAGAATCAAGCAATCAAGGAGATTACTATTGCCACAGATCCTCTTGTGAGTATCCCAGACAAGCATAAGAGAAATGGAAGATATTAGAGGCCAAAAGAAAAAAAAAAATCAAGAAATACAGAAAAGGGTGGTTGTCTGTACCTGAAACTTGAATCTCAGTTCTCCAAATATGAAAGTCTTTAAGAACACCACCAAAGGGCAAGCAAGCACACTTTTTGGAAGACTATCAAGAGCTTTATTATTTTAATTCTCCTGACACTACTCTGCAAGATAGTTTTATTTGTCGCCCTCCCCCCCCCCGCTTTTTTTTTTTTTTTTTTTTTTTTTTTTGGTTTTTGAGACAGAGCCTTACTTGTCGCCCAGGCTGGAGTGCAATGGCACAATCTCGGCTCACTGCAACCTCCGCCTCCCAGGTACAAGCAATTCTCCTGCCTAAGCCTGTCAAGTAGCTGGGACTACAGGTGCGTGCCACCCATGCCTGGCTAATTTTTTGTATTTTCACTAGAGACAGGGTTTCCCCATGTTGGCCAGGCTGGTCTCGAACTCCTGACCTCAAGTGATCCACCCGCCTTGGCCTCCCAAAGTGCTGGGATTACAGGCATGAGCCACCACACCTGGCCACTTGTTCGCCTTTTATAGATGGGGAAAGTGAGGCCCAGAGAGGTTAAGAAATTGTCTAAGGTCAAGTGGACACATGGTGAATCTTCAATTTATATCAGACCTAACTAGTTCTTTCCACTATACCATGTTGACATGGTTTCACTGTGTTCCCATAAAAATTTCAACTTGAAATGTATCTCCCAGAATTTTCATGTGTTGTGGGAGAGACCTAGAAGGAGGTAATTGAATCATGGGGGCTGGTCTTTCCCATGCTATTCTCGTGATAGTGAATAAGTCTCATGAGATCTGATGGGTTTATCAGGAGTTTCTGCTTTTGCTTCTTCCTCATTCTCTCTTGCTGCCACCCTATAAGAAGTGTCTTTCACCTCTCACCATGATTCTGAGGCCTCCCCAGCCATGTGGAACTGTAAGTCCAATTAAACCTCTTTTTCTTCCCAGTCTTGGGTATGTTTTTCTTAGCAGCGTGAAAATGAACTAATACAGTAAATTGGTACCAGTAGAGTGTGGTGTTGCTGAAAAGATACCCAAAAATGTGGAAATGACTTTAGAACTGGGTAACAGGCAGAGGCTGGAACAGTTTGGAGAGCTCGGGAGAAGACAGGAAAATGTGGGGAAGTTTGGAACTTCCTAGAGACTTGTTGAATGGCTTTGCCCAAAATGCTGATAGCGATATGGACAATAAGGTCCAAGCTGAGGAGACCTCAGATGGAGATGAGGAAACTTGTTGGAAACTGGAGTAAAGGTGACACTTGTTATGTTTCAGCAAAGGGACTGAAGGCATTTTGCCCCTGCCCTAAGGATCTGTGGAACTTTGAACTTGAGAAAGATGATTTAGGGTATCTGACAGAAGAAATTCCTAAACAGCAAAGCATTCAAGAGGTGTCTTGGGTTCTTTTAAAGGCATTCAGTTTTGTAAGGGAAGCAGAGCATAAAAGTTTGAAAAATTTGCAGCCTATGTGACAGAAAAGAAAAATCCATTTTTGGGGGGAGAAGTTCAAGCCAATTATAGAAATGTGCATAAGTAGCATTGAGCCTAATGTTAATCCCCAAGACCATGGGGAAAATGTATCCAGGCCATGTCAGAGACCTTCATGGCAGCTGCTCCCATCACAGGTCCAGAGGCCCATGAGGAAAAACTGGCTTCATGGGTCGGGCCGAGGGTCCCCGTGCTGTGTGCAGCCTAGGGAGTTGGTACCCTGTGTCTCAGCTGCTCCAGCCATGGCTGAAAGGGGCCAGTGTACATCTCGGGTTGTGGCTTCAGAGGGGGGAATCCCCAAGCCTTGGCAGCTTCCATATGGTGTTGGGCCTGTGGGTGCACAGAAGTCAAGAATTGAGATTTGGGAACCTCCGCATAGATTTCAGAAGATGTATGGAAATGCCTGTATGCCCAGGCAAAAGTTTTCTGTAGGGGTGGGGCCCTCATGGAGAACCTCTGCTAGGGCAATGTGGAAGGGAAATGTGGGGTTGGATCCCCCACACAGAGTCCCTACTGGGGCACTGCCTAGTGGAGCTGTGAGAAGAGGGCCACTGTCCTCCAGACACCAGAATGGTAGATCCACTAACAGCTTGCAATGTGCGCCTGGAAAAGCCGCAGATGCTCAAGGCCAGACTGTGAAAGCAGCCAGTAGGGAAGCTGTATCCTGCAAAGCCACAAGGGCAGAGCTGATGAAGAACATGGGAACCCACCTCTTGCATCAGCATGACCTGGATGTGAGATCCGGAGTCAAAGATGATGATTTTGGAGCTTTAAAATTTGACCACCTCACTTGATTTTGGACTTGCAGGGGCCCTGTAACCTCTTTGTTTTGGCAATTTTCTCTCATTTGGAATGGCTGTATTTACCCAATACTTGTACCCCCATTGCATCTAGGAAGTAACTAGCTTGCTTTTGATTGTACAGGCTCATAGGAGGAAGAGACTTGCATTGACTTAGATGAGACTTTGGACTGTGGACTTTTGGGTTAATGCTGAAATGAGTTAAGACTTTGGGGGACTGTTGGGAAGGCATGATTCCTCTTTAAATGTGAGGACATGAGATTTGGAGGGGCCAGGGGTGGAGTGATACAGTTTGACTGTGTCCCCATTCAAATCTCAACTTGAATTGTATCTCCCAGAATTCTCAAATGTTGTGGGAGGGACCTAGGGGGAGATAACTTAATTATGAGGGCCGGTCTTTCCCGTGCTAATCTCATGATAGTGAATAAGTCTCATGAGATCTGATAGGTTTATCAGGAGTTTCCACTTTTGCTTCTTCCTCATTCTCTCTTGGTGCCACCATGGAAGAAGTGCCTTTCACTTCCTGCCATGATTCTGAGGCCTTCCCAGCCATGTGGAACTGTAAGTCCAATTAAACCTCTTTTTCTTCTCAGTCTCAGGTATATCTTTATCAGCAACGTGAAAATGGACTAATATATGTGTATTTTCTCCTAGCAGGGGAAACGTTAACTCCCAAATGTCAGCTTTAGAGTCCCCTCAAGATGTGGCCTAGAGAGGTTAATATGTTTCTCAGAGAGATAAAATAATTAGCTGAAGATTTCAGGGCTGGTAAGTTGGGGTACTGGCTCAAAAGCTCACATTCTCTTCCTGGTTCCTGGTTCCATACAGCTCTTCAAATCAGGTAGGGCTGGGTGCAAATAGACTACTTCAAGCTTCCCCAATCACCGGGAATTTTAGGGACTCGTTCAGGGATTTCCCCAACGCGCTTTAGTGCAAAAGGATAAATGCCAAGCCTAGCCAGTTTCTGCTGGCTTTGGAACAAAGAGCTGTGGTGAAAGCCTGCATTCTAATCTACCACATGGGGGCTGTGCCATACTGTTCCTACACTGCTGAGTGGATTTGCATTTTAAATGAATCTGCTGGCCAAAGATCACTTTAAGTTTTCATCTGCCTTTTGCAGGCAACTCTGCACTTTCCTGTGCTGACTGAAACAAAGTATAACACCAGTCCTGCCCAGGCAAGCTGCTTCTAGTGAATAGGAAGTGAGCAACACTGGATTCCAGCCCAGGGGGAGAGAGGTGAGAGGTGAGGTCAGCACATCTGGTTTCTGCCCTCAGACTTCTTTACAGATGAGGGAAAGGTGCGCTCTTCAAAAGGACAGTCAAGCAGGTCCCAAGACACCCCAAGAGATCTCAGCTGTCCCCTACCTGGGGGATGTCAGGCTTCTTCAGCATCAAGCTGGCAGAGGCTCCAAGGCCTGGTGTGGAAGGGCAGAGCAGTTTTCCCATGTGATGGGGAACTTGTTTCAGAGGTGTCAAGAGATCCACACTAAGCCTGGTGCTATAAACTCCAGCTGGTTCCCAACTGAAGTTTCGGGGGGAAGGGGAAGGAGGGTGATTTCTAGGATAGGGGAAATATGCCATTGGTTGAATATAGGATTTTACTTATCTCGATATGTCTTGGAAAATTTCCTTAGGTTTCGGGAGACTCAGAACCCTCCAGAGTTTCAATTTCAGAGGCTAAGTCTTTGAGGGTCCCATCAAGAAATATAAACAGTACAGCCTGCTGGTGATAAAAACAATGGTGGTAGTGAGGAGAGGAGGATACTGAGGGAAATGTTTCTTCTTGACTCACGATAGCTCCTTTCTGTGAAAGGGTGCAATTGACAGAAACACTGGGGCTTCACCTGTGGCATCACTTTCTCTACCTTAGCAAGGAGGAGGGAATTATCTGGTTGGAAAATTTCAGAAAAAAAAAAAACTAGCTCTTCCTTTTTGTCCTCTCAGATGTTAACTCATCAGTAGAAATGTGAGTTCTTGCCAGCTTCTCCATGCTGTAAGTCTTATGTGGCACAACTGCCTGAGTTGGTTGTGTTAATCTACCTGCCAGAGGGTTGAGGGTGGGAGTACCTGAAACCGTTGAATCCTGCAAATACAAACCACAGCTTCCATTCTAGTCTTTATCTGTCATACAGGTTAGAGTTGCACTTTCCAATCTGCAACTTTTGTGTCTTGTTTCTGTGCGAAGAATGTCGGTGTGGATGGGCACATTTATTGTGCCCCTGTGATAGTTAATTTTATGTGTCAACTTGGTGAGGCTATGGCACCTAGTTGTTTCATCAAATGCCAGTGTATATGTTACTATGAAAATATTTTTAGATGTGATTAACATTTAAATCAGTTGACTTTAAGTAGAGCATATTTGTGTCCATAATGTGGGTAGGCCTCATTCAATCAGTTGAAGGCTTTCAGAGCCAAGACTGAGATTTCCCAAGAAAGCAGCAATTCTGACTCACGACTGCAACATACAAACCCTGCCCGAGTTCCCAGCCTACCAACTCAAGACTGCAACACCAACACAACCGAATTTCCAGCCTGCCAGCTTGCCCTACAGATGTAGACTGGTTAGCTCCCACGGTTGCATAAGCTAATTCCTTGAAATAAATCTCTCTCTCATATATGTCTCCTAATGGTTCTGTTTCTCAGAAGAACTCTGGCTTATACAGTCGCTCATGATCCCCACACATAATGACTAGTAACTGTGGCTGATATCATTGAGTCCTCAACTAATCCTCACAATTACTTACAAGGTAGGCAATAGCATTCCTCCCATTTTAAAGATGGGGGAGCTTTGATGTGAAACAGTTAAGTAATTTGCTCAAGGCTGTGCAACCAGTAAGTGGAGATGCAGCATTTGAATTCAAATTTTCCTGAAACCATAACTTACGTATTTAACTATTATTGCACACAGCCTCCACACCAGAAAAGGAAGTCCTACTCAAAGTTATGATATAGTGCATAGTTAAGTTGAATACACCCATTTGATCATAGTCAAGAGAGGAAAGTCTTTGTCTGTTAGTCTTATGCTCAGTGTTTGTATTTTGAGTGTCTCTCTGTTTCAGTGCTGGATGAAAGAAGTACATGTTAAAGCTGATAGTAATAACCCAATGCTTACTTCTCTGGCCAGCCTCATTAGTGCTTCCATCCCTTAGTTTGGGATGTGATCTATGGTTCTGAGTGTTCTTTTTGTATTTGTTACTCTAATATTTAACATAATCAACAACTCTCAATGATGGCTATACGAAGCACACATACCAGCAGGGATAGTGGCATGAAGAAATCAAAGAATCCTCATTGATAAAATTCACCTTTGAGGATTTATTCATACATTCATCTGTCTCTTCATGCATTTATCTGGTAGTCGACCAGAAAAGTTTATTGAGAAGTTATTCTGTGCATGTATTTTTATTTCATTCATTTATTCAGAAATGAAATTATTATTACATACTCTGTCTCGGTAGGTGGATTCTCCCAAATTCACCCTCATTTTCACACCCTGCTTTCAACTTCTCTCTCATCTACCTCTTGGAAATGTACCTAACCCGTTTCTATTCCCTCAGAGCCTCGCTCTATATTTTCCATGATGATATTTGATAAATACAGAGAAATGGATTAATGGAATTGAATGGCATAATGGTTAACACATACTCACTTTAAGTGAGATTGTTTTAAAAGCACATCATCTTCATGCAGAAGCAATAACTTTTATGATGGACACTTTAGGCAATACATTATGAGTGGTTTTGGTCTGATGAGCCTTCCCAGTGTCCATTCAATCTCACTACCCATGTTGAGGGTAGCACTACCATTTTATCAGAAGCCAGCAATATGTCATCTTGCATGACATATTACTTGTTCACGGGATGATTTTATCATAAAATAAAAAGAACCAAATAAGTGTTTGCATTAAGAAAGTATTTATGTAAGGAAAAGACAATGATTGAAAGAGGCCGACTTCAAAGTGTATCCTCTCTGGCTTCACAAAAATACTACTTTACTCCTTTGACAGACACTGAAGCTGCTTAATTAATAGCCATATTCCTGAACCAACATTTTGGTTAGGATGTAATTCCCACCAATATTTTGGTTAGGTTGTCTAGGTAAAAGACTGTATTTTCCATGCTCCATGTATCTAGCTATTAGGGTGTTTCTTCTAGAAAGGTTCTACAAGTAATGCTGACTCAGCTAAGAGGTGTTTCCTTTTGTTTTTCCCCTTCTTCCTGCCTGCAAAGCAGACATAAAGGCTGTAGATTCGGCAGCCATTTTGGAACATGAAGCAATGTTAAGAATTGAAGACATATAATAGTATTGTAGAGTGTAAAGATACGGAGAGTTTGGGTCCTTGGTGAGTAGGGAATTATTACCTCCATATTGGACTACCAACATCCAGAATTCTTTGATGTAAAGAAGATATACATTTCTGCCTCATTTCAAACTTCAATTTTTGTTTCCATGTATGTGTTCTACTCACCTGAATCTGAAGGCAACTAACACATCCCCCAAGTTTATCATTAAAACCTATGAACTATATTATTCCAATAATAATGTTTCATTGGCCAGGTGTGGTGGCTCACGCCTGTAATCCCAGCACTTTGGGAGGCCGAGGCGGGTGGATCACAAGGTCAGGAGATCGAGACCATCCTGGCTAACACAGTGTAATGCCATCTCTACTAAAAATACAAAAAATTAGCCAGGCGTGTTGGCAGGTGCCTATAGTCCCAGCTGCTTGCGAGGCTGAGGGAGGAGAATGGTATGAACCCAGGAGGCGGAGCTTGCAGTGAGCCAAGATCATGACACTGCACTCCAGCCTGGGTGACAGAGTGAGACTCCAACTCAAAAGAAAACAAAACAAAACAAAAATAATGTGGGCAGCGGTTCCAAGATGGCTGAACAGGAACAGCTCCAGTCTACAGCTCCCAGCATGAGTGACACAGAAGATGGGTGATTTCTCCATTTCCAACTGAGGTACAGGGTTCATCTCACTGGGGCTTGTCAGACAGTGGGTGCAGGACAGCGGGTGCAGCGCATCAAGCGTGAGCCGAAGCAGGGTGGGGCATTGCCTCACCCAGGAAGTGAAAGGGGTCAGGGAATTCCCTTTCCTAGCCAAGCAAAGATGTGACAGCACCTGGAAAATCAGGTCACTCCAACCCTAATACTGCGCTTTTCCAATCGTCTTAGCAAACAGCACACCAGGAGATTATATCCCGTGCCTGTCTCGGAGGGTCCCAAGCCCACGGAGCCTCACTCATAGCTAGCACAGCAGTCTGAGATCGAACTGCAAGGCAGCAGTGAGGCTGGGAGAGGGGCACCCGCCATTGCTGAGGCTTAAGTAGGTAAACAAAGTGACCGGGAAGCTCAATCTGGGTGCAGTCCACCGCAGCTCAAGGCCTGCCTGCCTCTCTAGACTCCACCTCTGGGGGCAAGGCATAGCTGAACAAAAGGCAGCAGAAACCTCTGCAGACTTAAATGTCCCTGTCTGACAGCTTTGAAGAGAGAAATGGTTCTCCCAGCATGGAGTTTGAGATCTGAGAATGGACAGACTCCCTCCTCAAGTGGGTCCCTGAATCCTGAGTAGCCTAATTGGGAGGCACCCTGCAGTAGGGGCTGACTGACACTTCATATGATCAGGTACCCCTGAGACGAAACTTCCAGAGGAACAATCAGGCAGTGACATTTGCTGTTCAGCAATATTCGCTGTTCTGCAGCCTCCACTGCCGATACACAGGCAAACAGGGTCTGGAGGGGACGTTCAGCAAACTCCAACAGACCTGCAGGTGAGTGTACTGACTGTTGGAAGGAAAACTAACAAACAGAAAAGACATTCACACCAAAACCCATGTGTACGTCACCATCCTCAAAGATCAAAGGTAGATAAAACCACAAAGATGGGGAAAAAACACAGCAGAAAGGCTGAAAATTCTAAAAATTGGAGTGCCTCTCCCCCTACAAAGGAACGCAGCTCCTCACCAGCAATGGAAAAAAGCTGGACAGAGAATGACGAGTTGAGAGAAGACAGCATCAGATGATCAAACTTCTCCGAGCTAAAGGAGGAAGTTCAAACCCATCACAAAGAAGCTAAAAACCTTAAAAAAGATTAGACGAATGGGTAACTAGAATAACAAGTGTAGACAAGTCCTTAAATTCTCTACACCGATGGACCTGATGGAGCTGAAAACCATGGAACGAGAACTACATGATGAATGCACAAGCTTCAGCAGCTGATTAGATCAACTGGAAGAAAGGATATCAGTGACAGAAGATCAAATGTATGAAATGAGGTGATAAGAGAAGTTTAGAGAAAAAAGAGTAAAAAGAAATACATGAAGCCTCCCAGAAATATGGGAGTATGTGAAAAGACCAAATCTACGTCTGACTGGTGTACCTGAAAGTGATGGGGAGAATAGAACCAAGTTGGAAAACACTCTGCAGGATATTATCCAGGAGAACTTCCCCAACCTAGCAAGGCAGGGCGACATTCAAATTCAGGAAATACAGAGAACACCACAAAGATACTCCTCGAGAAGAGCAACTCCAAGACACATAATTGTCAGATTCACCAAAGTTGAAATGAAGGAAAAAATGTTAAGGGCAGCCAGAGAGAAAGGTCGGGTTACCTACAAAGGGAAGCCCATCAGACTAACAGCTGATCTCTCAGCAGAAACTCTACAAGCCAGAAGAGAGTGGGGGCCAATATTCAACCTTCTTGAAGAAAAGAATTTTCAACCCAGAATTTCATGTCCAGCCAAACTAAGCTTCATAAGTGAAGGAGAAATAAAATACTTTACAGACAAGCAAAGGCTGAGAGATTTTGTCACCACCAGGCCGGCCCTGCAAGAGCTCCCGAAGGAAGCACTAAATATGGAAAGGAACAACCGGTACCAGCCACTGCAAAAACATGCAAAATTGGAAAGCGCATCGATGCTAGGAAGAAACTGCATCAACTAACGAGCAAAATAACCAGTTAACATCATAATGACGGGATCAAATTCACACATAATGATATTAACATTAAATGTAAATGGGCTAAATGCTCCAATTAAAAGACACAGACTGGCAAATTGGATAAAGAGTCAAGACCCATCAGTCCGCTCTATTCAGGAGACCCATCTCACGAGCAGAGACACACATAGGCTCAAAATAAAGGCATGGAGGAAGATCTACCAAGAAATTGGAAAACAAACAAAAGCAGGCGTTGCAATCCTAGTCTCTGATAAAACGGATTTTAAACCAACAAAGATCAAAAGAGACAAAGAAGGCCATTACATAATGGTAAAGGGATCAATTCAATAAGAAGGGCTAACTATCCTAACTGTATATGCACCCAATACAAGAGCACCCAGATTCATAATGCAAGTGCTTGGAGACCTACAAAGAGACTTAGACTCCAACACAATAATAATGGGAGACTTTGACAACCCACTGTCAACATTAGACAGATCAATGAGACTGAAAGTTAACAAGGATATCCAGGAATTGAACTCACCTCTGCACCAAGCAGACCTAATAAACATCTACAGAACTCTCCACCCCAAATCAACAGAATATACATTCTTCTCAGCACCACATCGCACTTATTCCAAAATTGACCACATAGTTGGAAGCAAAGCACTCCTCAGCAAATGTAAAAGAATAGAAATTATAACAAACTGTCTCTCAGACCACAGTGCAATCAAATTAGAACTCAGGATTAAGAAACTCACTCAAAAGCTCTCAACTACATGGAAACTGAACAACCTGCTCCTGAATGACTACTGGGTACATAATGAAATGAAGGCGGAAATAAATATGTTCTTTGAAACCACTGAGAACAAAGACACAACATACCAGAATCTCTGGGACACATTTAAAGCAGTGTGTAGAGGGAAATTTATAGTGCTAAATGCCCACAAAGGAAAGCAGGAAATATCAAAAATGGACACCCTAACATCACAATGAAAAGAAATAGAGAAGCAAGAGCAAACACATTCAAAAGCTAGCAGAAGGCAAGAAACAACAAAGATCAGAGCAGAACTGAAGAATGTAGAGACACAAAAAACCCTTCAAAAAATCAATGAATCCAGGAGCTGGTTTTTTGAAAAGATCAACAAAATTGATAGACCACTAGCAAGACTAATAAAGAAGAAAAGAAAGAAGAATCAAATAGATGCAATAAAACATGGTAAACGGGATATCATAACTGATCCCAGAGAAATACAAACTACCATCAGAGAATACTATAAACACCTCTATGCAAATAAACTAGAAAATCTAGAAGAAATGGATAAATTCCTGGACACATACACCCTCCCAAGACTAAACCAGGAAGAAGTTGAATCTCTGAATAGACCAATAACAAAAACTCTGAAATTGAAGCAATAATTAATTGCCTATCAACCAAAAAAAGTTCAGGACCAGACAGATTCACAGCAGAATTCTACCAGAGGTATAAGGAGGAGCTGGTACCATTCCTTCTGAAACTATTCCAATCAACACAAAAAAAAGGGAACCCTCCCTAACTCATTTTATGAGGCCAGCATCATCCTGATACCAAAGCCTGGCAGAGATGCCACAAAAAAAGAGAATATTAGACCAATATCCCTGATGAACATCGTTGCAAAAATCCTCAATAAAATGCTGGCACACCGAATCCAGCAGCACATCAAAGAGCTTATCCACCATGATCAAGTGGGCGTCATCCCTGGGATGCAAGGCTGTTTCAACATATGCAAATCAATAAATGTAATCCAGCATATAAACAGAACCAAAGACAAAAACCACATGATTATCTCAATAGATGCAGAAAAGGCCTTTGTCAGAATTCAACAACTCTTCATGCTATAAACTCTCAATAAATTAGGAATTGATGGGACATATCTCAAAATAATAAGAGCTATCTATGACAAACCCACAGCCAATATCATACTGAACGGGCAAAAACTGGAAGCATTCTCTTTGAAAACGGGCACAAGACAGGGATGCCCTCTCTCACCACTCCTATTCAACATAGTGTTGGAAGTTCTGGCCAGGACAATCAGACAGGAGAAAGAAGTAAAGGGTATTCAACTAGGAAAAGAGGAAGTCAAATTGTCCCTGTTCACAGATGACATGACTGTATATCTAGAAAACCGCATTGTCTTAGCCCAAAATCTCCTTAAGCTGATAAGCAACTTCAGCAAAGTCTCAGTATATAAAATCAATGTGCAAAAATCACAAGCATTCTTATACACCAGTAACAGACAGAGAGCCAAATCATGAGTGAACTCCCATTCACAATTGCTTCAAAGAGAATAAAATACCTAGGAATCCAACTTACAAGGGATGTGAAGGACCTCTTCAAGGAGAACTACAAACCACTGCTCAATGAAATAGAAGAGGACACAAACAAAAGGAAGAACATTCCATGCTCATGGATAGGAGGAATCAATATCATGAAAATGGCCATACTGCCCAAGGTAATTTATAGATTCAGTGCCATCCCCATCAATCTAGCAATGACTTTCTTCACAGAATTGGAAAAAACTACTTTAAAGTTCATATGGAACCAAAAAAGAGGCTGCATTGCCAAGTCCATCGTAAGCCAAAAGAACAAAGCTGGAGGCACCACACTACCTGACTTCAAACTATACTACAAGGCTACAGTAACCAAAACGGCATGGTGCTGGTACCAAAACAGAGATATAGACCAATGGAACACAACGGAGCCCTCAGAAATAATGCCGCATATCTACAACTATCTGATCGTTGACAAACCTGACAAAAACAAGAAATGGGGAAACAATTCCCTATTTAATAAATGGTGCTGGGAAAACTAGCTAGCCATATGTAGAAAGCTGAAACTGGATCCCTTCCTTACACCTTATACAAAAATTAATTCAAGATGGATTAAAGACTTACATGTTAGACCTAAAACCATAAAAACCCTAGAAGAAAACCTAGGCAATATCATTCAGGACACAGGCATGGGCAAGGACTTCATGTCTAAAACACCAAAAGCAATGGCAACAAAACCCAAAATTGAGAAATGCGATCTAATTAAACTAAAGAGCTTCTGCACAGCAAAAGAAACTACCATCAGAGTGAACAGGAAACCTACAGAATGGGAGAATATTTTTGCAACCTACTCATCTGACAAAGGGCTAATATCCAGAATCTACAATGAACTCAAACAAATTTACAAGAAAAAAACAAACAACCCCATCAAAAAGTGGACGAAGGACATGAACAGACACTTCTCAAAAGAAGACATTTATGCAGCGGAAAAACACATGAAAAAATGCTCATCGTCACTGGCCATCAGAGAAATGCAAATCAAAACCACGAGATACCACCTGACACCAGTTAGAATGGAGATCATTAAAAAGTCAGGAAACAACAGGTGCTGGAGAGGATGTGGAGAAATAGGAACACTTTTACACTGTTGGTGGGACTGTAAACTAGTTCAACCATTGTGGAAGTCAGTGTGGAGATTCCTCAGGGACCTAGAACTAGAAATACCATTTGACCCAGCCATCCCATTACTGGGTATATACCCAAAGGATTATAAATCATGCTGCTATAAAGACACATGCACACTTATGTTTATTGCGGCACTATTCACAATAGCAAAGACTTGGAACCAACCCAAATGTCCAACAATGATAGACTGGATTAAGAAAATGTGGCACATACACACCATGGAATACTATGCAGCCATAAAAAATGATGAGTTCATGTTGTTTGTAGGGACATGGATGAAATTGGAAATCATCATTCTCAGTAAGCTATCGCAAGGACAAAAAACCAAACACTGCATGTTCTCACTCGTAGGTGGGAATTGAACAATGAGAACACATGGACACAGGAAGGGGAACATCACACACCGGGGACTGTTGTGGGGTGAGGGGAGGGGGGAGGGATAGCATTAGGAGATATACCTAATGCTACATGACGAGTTAATGGTTGCAGCACACCAATATGGCACATGTATACATATGTAACGAACCTGCACGTTGTGCACATGTACCCTAAAACTTAAAGTATAATAATAATAAAATTAAAAAAAAGATCAAGACTTATGGCCCAAAGGGCCTATAGCTGGTCTGACCATCTATCAAAAAATCTGAATTTAAATGGAGACACATTGGATTGTGACATGAAATAAAATAACTAAAGCAGCAGAGGGTCTTGATTTGGGTTTCCTTTCCACCCTACACAGCTCCAGTGAATGGAAGAGTGAGCATGCCTGTGGTGCTCCTGACACATCTGGGGTGGTTCCCATTGACAGTGGTCAACCTTTGGGATTTGCTACACATTGCAGGGTCATTGTCCATCTATGCTAACCTAGAATGTCCAGATAAAAGCTCCTGTTTAGAGACTGGAGAGAAAATTGTCAAACCTGAAGGCCCATGAACTGTCTTAGTCTGGGGAGAACACATGTAGGAAAGACTACAGAATCTGATGTAAGAAGCCTAATTTCAGATTGACCCATATAGCTTTATGATTGTGAGTAAATTACCTTACTTTTCAATGCTCTGTTATTCTCTCATCCATGAGAAAAGTGAACCAAATAGTCTCCCAGATCCCTTCCAATCTTAACATCCTCTGACTTTATGATTAAAGAGTGATACTCGCTGGGTGCAGTGGCTCACGCCTGTAATCCCAGTACTTTGGGAGGCTGAGGTGAGCAGATCACCTGAGGTGGGGAGTTTGAGACCAGCCTGACAAACACGAAGAAACCCTGTCTCTACTATTTTTACAGAATTAGCCAGGTGTGGTGATGCATGCCTGTAATCCCAGCTACTCTGGAGGCTCAGCGAGAACTGCTTGAATCTGGGAGGCAGATTTTTTGGTTAGCGAAGATTGCACCATTGCACTCCAGCCTGAGCAACAAGAACAAATCTCCACCTCAAAAAAAAAAAAAAAAGTGATACTAGTAAGGCTAAAACTGTGGCTTAACCCCAATAGGAGCCTGCTGGGATTATGCTAAGCAAAACTATTCCACACAGAGCCATTCTGACCATGTCCCTCCCTACACCAGCTATCATACAGATATGGACTACTGGTATGAGAAGTCCCTGCTACAGAGGACATTGACTGATTCAATAACAGACTGATTTAGTCATTCAACCAAAAAATATTTACTGAGCACCTTCTAGGTATTTAGGTATACAACAGAGCAAAACAGACAAAAATCCCTTCCCTCATAGAGCTTACATTTTAGTGAAAGAGGAAGAGGAGTCAGGTATCAAATAGGAAATATGAGTCGAGGATATATTTTATGCAGAGCAGCCTGGAGGCCCTTGATAAGCTGACTTTTCAGCCAAAATCCAAAGCAGTGAGAGTTAGCCATGAAGACATTAGGTGAAGAATGTTCCAGGCAGAGGGAACAGCAAGGTCCAGAGACAGGACAAGGTCAAGCATGCCTGGCATGTTAAAGGAAACACCATGAGCTCAGTGTTTATAAAGAGGAGTAAGAGCAGGAGAGTAGCAGGAAGCACAGTGAGACAGGTAGTAGGGGACCAGATCATGTAGAAAACAAAGCCGCTGGAGAATTTGAACAGAGGGGTAAACATGATCTGAATTACACTGTAAAAGGATTGTTCTAACTGTTGTACTGAGAGTAGACTGGGAGGGAGTGGTGGCTCATGCCTGTAATCCCAACACTTAAGAGGCCTGCCTTAGGGAGACTGAGGCAGGAGAATCACTTGAACCAAGGAGGTGGAGGTTGCAGTGAGCCAAGATCACAACATTGCACTCCAGCCTTGGCGACAAAGCAAGACTGTCTCAAAAAAAAAGAGAGAGAGAGAGAGTAGACTGAAAGAGGCAAGCATGGAAACAAGGAAACCAGTTAGGAGACTATGGAGATAATCCAGGTGAGAGACGATGGCAGATGGTTCCAGGGTGGCAGCAGTGAGGAGTGAAGGACAGACTCGGATATATTCTGAAGTTGAATCAACCAGACACTGGAGGACAGGATGATCTTGGAAAATCTTGGGACTACTGCAGAATCGAATGAAGCTAAATGGCACTAAATTCCAAAATCCACTGTGAAATCCTGGGATCAGGGATTTGTTCATCTCTGTCACCTATTGTCCCCACCCAGTACTTGGCATATAATGCGGATGTAAAATGTCTTCAATTCTTGAATGAATAAATGTGGAACTGAATATATTAAAAAGCCAAAAACGCTGTAGTTTGATAGGTCATTAGGAGACCAAAAAGCATGTGGTACTAGATATGTTTTACTAATAATGGATCCTCTCCCCTGAGTAAATCTATTTCTCTTTTTTTTTTTTTTTTTTTTGAGACAGTCTTGCTCTGTTACCCAGGCTGGCAGTGGCACAATGTTAGCTCACTGCAACCTCCACCTCCCAGGATCAAGCAATTCTCGTGCCTTAGCCTCCTCAGTAGCTGGGACTATAGGCACCCACCACCATTCACCATTCCCAGATTTTTTTTTTTTTTTTGTATTTTAGTAGAGATGGGGCTTCACCATGTTGCTGAGGGTTGTCTCAAACTCCTGAGCTCAGGTAATCCACCTACTTTGGCCTCCCAAAGTGCTAGGATTATAGGCATGAGCTACCACGCTCAGCCTGAATCTATTTCTTTTTATAAAAAAATTTCCCTTTATAACTTATTTCACAGTAGTAAGCAATGAAGCTGACAAACAACTTCATATAATACAGTTGAACATCTGAACAACTTGGCCATTTCCCTGAGAGGCCAGATGTAGTCACCAAACCTCAAACCACCTCATTAACTTCCAACTAAAATACAGGGATAAATTTTACACAAGTAGTAAGCTCATGTTCTTATAAATAGCAAATCATGTGCCAGGCACCGTAGCTCACACCTGTAATCCCAGCACTTTGGGAGGCTGAGGTGGGTGGGTTACCTGCGGTCAGGAGTTCAAGACCAGCCTGGCCAACATGGTGAAACCCCATCTCTACCAAAAACTACAAAAATTAGGTGTGCGTGGTGGTGCATACCTGTAGTCCTAGCTACTTGTGAGGCTGAGGCATGAGAATCCCTTGAACCTGGGAGGCAGAAGTTGCAGAAAGCCGAGATCATGCCACTGCACTCCAGCCTGGGCAACAGAGCAAGACTCTGTCTCAAAAATAAAATAAAATAAAATAAAAATAAAGGCATACAGGATGTCACTTACATGGACAGGTGTTCAGAGCTTGTGTGGAGGCGTTGTGGATGAGGACAAAAGCCGGCTTGGAGACAATGGAGGCTAACTGGAGTTACTGGATGAAGAGAGGAGGGAAAGAGAGACAAAAGGAAAAGGGTAAGGGGAGTGGAACATTCGCCTCAGTGTGGAGGTCATCTCTGATTGCTGACAAAGGTCATCTCTGATTGCCGACAAAGGAAAATGTTGGAGAATGTCTGAAAATATTGCTAAAGGTTGGCAGTTTCAGAAAATCTTGTAATATTTCCTTTACTTTAAAAGAAAACTCAGCATCTCAAAGGGTTAGTAGGAGTTGTTCCCCACCCCCGCATTGGATTTCACAGTAGTTGAACCATTCAGCCACAGAAAATAACTCCAGTATGAACCACATTAGAATACTACCAATAAAGACATGGGACTCTCCTCTTCTGAGGTCGAGCGCTTCTATTCACTTGCTGCTCAGCCTCCTCTTCTGCCCATCCTCACCTCCTTTGCTGGCATCTCTTCCTCCCATGGAGGACTTCACACCCTCCTCACAGAGCCAGGTGCCACCTTCCACTCTTCGAGGCTCCATCATGTGCCTGGCTCCACCGCCTTCTCACGTGTAACTTCTACCTTTCACCAAGCTGAGGACACAGTGCACCCATGGTGTGTTTAAGGAGACAATTCTGATGGCCACAAAATTCTTTTGTCATGTGCTCTGTGATTTTAATTGTCCTGTCCAAACACTAATGCATGGTCCACGGTCAGGCCAAGTAAGGTTATGTTAAAATTAGGAACCACCAAGCACCTTTAATTCCTTCCAAGATCTTTTATGAGTGGGACAAAGTCAAGGGCTGTCAATGATGGCAAGAGTGGAGATTCTCCTTCTGGTGACACCTGCTGTACTCTGGTGACGATGGCAGGTCCAGCACTGCTCCAGCACCCAATCCTTGCAGTGTCTTCTACAACACTTGCACATTCTTTATATAATACAGGTTTCGCATTCTCACTTTCTGCAATAACTGTCACAACTGCCCCTAACAAAAATGGTGACTGCACTCCTCACAACCTTGAATTTGAGCTTTCTCTTCAGAAATGAAGTTTTCTACAGGTTTCATCATCTTCAGACTAATGCAAACTGAAGATCTACCTTCAGGAATATTTTTCTTTCTCTATTACTTCCCTTAGCAAGAAATGTGTAACTTCCAATCTTCAATTCTTCACCAATGCTTTGATTCTTCAGCTAAATCAAAAGCATGCTGAGGGCAAGGTGTGGTGGTTCACACCTGTAATCCCAGCACTTCGGGAGGCTGAAGTGGGTGGATCACAAGGTCAGGAGTTTGAGACCAGCCTGGCCAACATGGTGAAATCCCATTTCTTCTAAAAATACAAAAATTGGCCAGGCATGGTGGCATGCACCTGTAATCCCAGCTACTCAGGAGAATGAGGCAGGAGAATTGCTTGAACCCGGGAGGCAAATGTTTCAGTGAGCTGAAATCATGCCACTGCACTCCAGCCTGGGTGACAAAGTGAGACTCTGTCTCAAAGAAAAAAAAACAAAAACAAAAACGAAAACCATGCTTAACCTATGAGTTAAGCACTGAGTTTTGTCTTCTCCATTGCAGAACTCTTGGACAAGGATAATTTTGTTACCCTACTACAGAATTTCTCAACCACTTTCCATGCCATAATCCACACAAAATCTATTTGGCACACTGACTGACAAGTAATTGCCCCAAGGTACTGTGAAAGCTGAAGGAGCAGTATTTTAGGACACACCCATTAAGCCAACTTGAGAACATTTATTCACCTTAGTATTCATGAGAAGGATTAACTGCACAAATTTGTAAACACCTAATACACATACATAATTCATACTTGATTCCCAACACTTATTTCCTGACAATACAAAACTTCATACTAAATGGCCATTTATTAGTTCTTGGCAACATAAGTTCCTAAGGTAATGGATGATCTACAAATTGTGGTCACTTACTCTGACAATGCACAATGGCAAACAAAAAGATGGGAAATAAAGGTACACTTAGAGCTCTAATAAACTAGGTTGGGCACGGTGGCTCACGCCTGTAATCCTAACACTTTGGGAGGCCGAAGTGGGCGGATCACTTGAGGACAGGGGTCCGAGACCAGCCTGGCCAACGTGGCAAAACCCCATCTCTACTAAAAATACAAAATTTAGTCAGGCATGGTGGCATGCACCTGTAATCCCAGCTACTCAGGAGAATGAGGCAGGAGAATTGCTTGAACCCGGGAGGCAAATGTTTCAGTGAGCTGAAATCATGCCACTGCACTCCAGCCTGGGTGACAAAGTGAGACTCTGTCTCAAAGAAAAAAAAACAAAAACAAAAACGAAAACCATGCTTAACCTATGAGTTAAGCACTGAGTTTTGTCTTCTCCATTGCAGAACTCTTGGGCAAGGATAATTTTGTTACCCTACTACAGAATTTCTCAACCACTTTCCATGCCATAATCCACACAAAATCTATTTGGCACACTGACTGACAAGTAATTGCCCCAAGGTACTGTGAAAGCTGAAGGAGCAGTATTTTAGGACACACCCATTAAGCCAACTTGAGAACATTTATTCACCTTAGTATTCATGAGAAGGATTAACTGCACAAATTTGTAAACACCTAATACACATACATAGTTCATACTTGATTCCCAACACTTATTTCCTGACAATACAAAACTTCATACTAAATGGCCATTTATTAGTTCTTGGCAACATAAGTTCCTAAGGTAATGGATGATCTACAAATTGTGGTCACTTACTCTGACAATGCACAATGGCAAACAAAAAGATGGGAAATAAAGGTACACTTAGAGCTCTAATAAACTAGGTTGGGCACGGTGGCTCATGCCTGTAATCCTAACACTTTGGGAGGCCGAGGTGGGCGGATCACTTGAGGACAGGGGTCCGAGACCAGCCTGGCCAACGTGGCAAAACCCCATCTCTACTAAAAATACAAAATTTAGTCAGGCATGGTGGCATGCACCTAGAATCCCAGCTACTTGGAAGGCTGAGGCAGGAGGATCGCTTGAACCTGGGAGGCGGAGGTAGCGGTCAGCTGAGATCGCGCCATTGTACTCTAGTCTGGGCAACAAGAGCAAAACTTCATTCCCCTCAAAAAGAAAATGACATTATTTGCTCAACAGAGACTTATTAGATCTTTTTCTGTTAGCTGTGATATTCGTGTGCAGGCCAGAATGACAGTATTTGCCATTTTAGGAACAGGGCACACATGAATAAACATTAAGGTCTAAAGGCAAATAGTAACTGTTATCCCTGAACAGCTGAAATGTGGCTACTTCAAACTGAAATATCCTGTGAGTATGAAAGACACACCAATTGTCAACAAAAAGAATATATGCAAATGAAGAATGTGAAATACTTCATTGTGTGTTTATTTATAATGATTTCAGGTTGAACTCGAAAATATAAAATTATGTATGTGGCTTGCATTTGCAGCACACATTGTATTTCTTTTGGATACCACCGGTCAAAATTCAAAGCTTAATGCCAGGTGCGATGACTCACATCTGTAATCCCAGCACTTCGGGAGGCTCAGGCAGAAGGATCACCTGAACCCAGCCTGGCCAATATGGTGAAAACTCGTCTCTACACAAAATAAAAAACTTAACCAGGCATGGCTAACTTAGCCTGTAATCCCGGCTACTCGGAAGGCTGAGGCAGGAGAATTGCTTGAGCCTGGTTGCAGTGAGCCAAGATCACACCACTGCACTCCAGCCTGGGTGACAGAGTGAGACTCTGTATCAAAAAAAGAAAGAAAAAAAAAACCTTGGGTTATCCCTACACTGCATCTGTTCATATTGATAAATCACAGAGTGCCTATATTGAGCTTCTGCAAAAGATTTTTTGGGGAGGTGAAGGAAGGAGCAGTTCCATCATGTAAAAGATTAATTTTTAAAAGCTTCAAGATTAATCTGTGCTTTTAAAAAGGATTTCACAACTATTTTACTTGTTGTATTTGTTCTTGGCTGAGTAACTTCAGTTGTATTGTGAGTAAGAAGTTTTGGTCTGTAAAAAACAGTTGATATTAATATTATAATAAAACATTTAGAAGATATTTACAGGTCTTTCTCACACAGCTTTGCACTGCTAAATATTATTATTATTATTATTTGAGATGGAGTCTCATTCTGTCATCCAGGCTGGAGTGCAGTGGCACAATCTCGACTCACTGCAACCTCTGCCTCCCAGGTTCAAGCTATTCTCCTGCCTCAACCTCCTGAGTAGCTGGGACCGCAAGTTCACACCACCACACCTGGCTAATTTTTGTATTTTTAGTAGACACAGGGTTTTGCCATGTTGGCCAGGCTGGTCTTGAACTCCTGACCTCAGGTAATCCACCTGCCTCAGCCTCCCAAAGTGCTGGGATTACAAGCATGAGCCACTGTGCCCGGCCAATTTTTAAACATAATCCATTCTGCCTTCATTTTACAGTGAAAAAAAATCATTTTGGTGACTTGAATTTTGAAAATAGCAATTTTCAGACATTCAGGCGAGACCACCTGGATGTCTCCAAAGTCATCTTTTTTGTAAGATAAATATGCAAAAGTCACTTTTCCCCCAAACCAGCCCAATTATATTTCTGAATCTTAGATGAACTGTCCCACAGCACAGCCAGAAGCAGCTTGCTGTATCATCTTAAACCTTTCCTCTCCCTTATAACTCAGTCCCAACGAATACACAGATGCACAACCTCAATCAGTAAGCAAGACTCTACCCACTTCAACATTCCTTCTATGAGTAGAGAGAGGCCTTCTGTTCCTATCCCCAAACACTCAAACTATTCATGTGTTACCCTTCAAAATCAAGCCAGATTAACTTTTCTAAAGGGCAGATCCAAATTATTTTAAGAGGAAACTGCTATGAGACCAGTTAATGACTGCCACTGCTTTTGTAGGAGCCAAGACCTTCCTCCATTTGGCCACAAAAGTCTATCTAAGCAGTCCCACCATGCCCACATGGCACTCCTCACTCCACACAGAATGGGTAATGTATGTGAATATGTGAGCATATTTGACTCCTCTCTGCCTTTACTCATATTTGAAACACATTGCCTCCCTTCTGGATGCACAAGTGACTGATCTGGGTGTGCCAACCTTGCCTTCTCCCCCAAAAATGCTCAATAACTCTTCATTGCATTTTTCTGAGTATTAAGCCTCCCAAGGACAGGGTTCTTGCTAGAACCAATTTTGCACAACTGATGCTTATACTAAATAAATGTTTGTTCAATAAATGAATCTAAATGTTAATTTTAATATAAAGGAGTCATGATGAGAGGGGAACAAAAGGCCCATCTTGGTCAAATTAATCTCTCCTTAGGGAAGACAATGAATTTGTTTCTGCAGATTATCATCTTACCTCTTAATAACAAACTTAATTCAATTGCTCACTTGAAAGATGTTTTCGAGCCTTGGGATTTCATGCAATGAGGGGATTCTGAAAGGAGTGTTTTCCGGTAGTCCTTCCACATTCAGCTCATTCACATGTTTCAAATTTTTGGTACGGTGCAGCCTTGGCTTCAGTGCTCCCCAAGGCTTCAGCTGAAAAAACCAAAGTAATTCAGAAGATTATGTTTGTGTTGAAATCAGATTTTAGTACAATCCAAAGCAAGGTGCAGGTCAATTTTTTTAATTGGAAAAACTCTAGAAACATATTTACTAACTATTGAAACAGACTTAAAGCAAAGGCAAGTATAAATGACCCATCATTAGACAGATCAACGAGAGAGAAAATTAACAAGGATATTAAGGACTTGAACTCAGTTCTGGACAAAGCAGACCTAATAGACATCTACAGAACTCTCCACCCAAATCCACAGAATATACATTCTTCTCAGCACTTCATCACACTTATTCTAAAATTGATCACATAATTGGAAGTAAAACACTCCTCAGCAAATGCAAAAGAACGGAAATAATAACAAACAGTCTCTCAGACCACAGTGCAATTAAATTAGAACTCAGGATTAAGAAACTCACTCAAAACCACACAACTACATGGAAACTGAATAACCCGCTCCTGAATGACTAGTGGGTAAATAACAAAATTAAGGCAGAAATAAAGATGTTCTTCAAAACCAATAAAAACAAAGACACAACATACCAGAATCTCTGGCACACATTTAAAACAGTGTTTAGAGAGAAATTTATAACACGCAAGGCCCACAAGAGAAAGCAGGAAAGATTTAAAATTGACACCCTAACATCAAAATTAAAAGAACTAGAGAAGCAAGAAAAAACAAATTCAAAAGCTAACAGAAGACAAGAAATAACTAAGATCAGGGCAGAACTGAAGGAGATAGAGACAAGAAAAACCCTCCAAAAATTCAATGAATCCAGGAGCTGATTTTTTGAAAAGATCAACAAAATAGATAGACCACTAGCCAGAATAACAAAGAAGAAAAGAGACAAGAATCAAATAGATGCAATAAAAAAAATGATAAAGGGGCCATCACCACTGATCCCACAGAAATACCAACTACCATCAGGGAATACTATAAATACCTCTATGCAAATAAACTAGAAAATCTAGAAGAAATGGATAAATTCCTGGACACATACACCCTCCCAAGTCTAAACCAGGAAGAAGCCAAATCCCTGAACAGACCAGTAACAAGTCCTGAAATTGAGGCAGTAATTAATAGCCTACCAACCAAAAGAAGTCCAGGACCAGACAGATTCACAGCTGAATTCCAACAGAAGTACAAAGTGGAGCTGGTACCATTCCTTCTGAAATTATTCTAAACAACAGAAAAAGAGGGACTCTTCCCTAACTCATTTTATGAGGCCAGCATCACCCAGATAAAACCTGGCAGAGACACAACAAAAAAGAAAATTTCAGGCCAATATCCCTGATGAACATCGATGTGAAAATCCTCAATAAAATACTGACAAATCAAATCCAGCAACACATCAAAAAGCTTATCCACCACAATCAAGTCAGCTTCATACCTGGGATGCAAGGCTTGTTCAACATACGCAAATGGACAAATGTAATCCATCACATAAACAGAACCAATGATAAAAACCACATGATTATCTCAATAGATGCAGAAAAGGCCTTCGACAAATTTCAACACCCTTCATGCTAAAAACTCTCAATAAACTAGATATTGATGAAACATATCTCAAAATAATAAGAGCTATTTATGACAAACCCACAGCCAACATCATGCTGAATGGACAAAAACTGGAAGCATTCCCTTTGAAAACTGGCACAAGACAAGGATGCCCTCTCTCACCACTCCTATTCAACATAGTATTGGAAGTTCTGGCCAGGGTAATCAGGCAAGAGAAAGAAAGAAAGCGTATTCAATTAGGAAGAGAGGAAGTCAAATTTCTGTTTCCAGGTGGCATGATTGTTTATTTAGAAAACCCCATCGTCTCAGCCCCAAATCGCTTTAAGCTGATAATCAGCTTCAGCAAAGTCTCAGGATACAAAATCAATGTGCATAAATCACAAGCATCCCTATACACCAATAATAGAGAGCCAAATCATGAGTGAACTACCATTCACAACTGCTACAAAGAGAATAAAATGCCTAGGAATACAACTTACAAGGGATGTGAAGGACCTCTTCAAGGAGAACTACAAACCACTCCTCAAGGAAATAAGAGAGGACACAAATAAATGGAAAAACATTCCATGCTCATGGATAGGAAGAATCAATATTGTAAAAATGGCCATACTGCCCAAAGTAATTTATAGATTCAATGCTATCCCTATCAAGCTACCATTGACTTTCTTGACACAATTGGAAAAAACTACTTTAAATTTCATATGGAACCAAAAAAGAGCCCGCATAGCCAAGACAATCCTAAGCAAAAAGCACAAAGATGGAGGTATCACGCTACCTGACTTCGAACTATACTACAAGGCTACAGTAACCGAAACAGCATGGTACTGGTACTGAAACAGATATATAGACCAATGGAACAGAACAGAGGCCTCAGAAATGACATCACACATCTACAACCATCTGATCTTTGACAATCCTGACAAAAACAAGCAATGGGGAAAGGATTCCCTATTTAATAAATGGTGTTGGGAAAACTGCTTGAGCCATATGCAGAAACTGAAACTGGACCCCTTCCTTACACCTTATACAAAAATTAACCCAAGATGGATTAAAGACTTAAACGTAAGACCTAAAACCATAAAAACCCTAGAAGAAAACCTAGGCAATACCATTCAGGGCATAGGCATGGGCAAAGACTTCATGACTAAAAGGACACCAAAAGCAATGGCAACAAAAGCCAAAATTGACAGATGGGATCTAATTAAACTAAAGAGCACAGCACAGCAAAAGAAACTATCATCAGAGTGAACAAGCAACCTACAGAATGGGACAAAATTTGTGCAATCTGTCTATCTGACAAACGGCTAATTTCCAGAATCTACAAAGAACTTAAACAAAATTACAAGAAAAAAACAACCCCATCAAAAGTGGGCAAAGGATATGAACAGACGCTTCTCAAAAGAAGACATTCATGCAGCTAAAGAACAGATGAAAAAAAGCTCATCATCAATGGTCATTAGAGAAATGCAAATCAAAACCACTCCAGTTAGAATGGTGATCATTAAAAAGTCAGTAAACAGAAGATGCTGGAGGGGATGTGGAGAAATAGGAATGCTTTTACACAGTTGTTGGGCATGTAAATTAGGTTAACCATTGTGAAAGACAGTGTAGCGATTCCTCAAGGATCTAGAACCAGAAATACCATTTGATCCAGCAATCCCATTACTGGGCATATACCTAAAGGATTATAAATCATTCTGCTATAAAGATGCATACACAAGTATGTTCATTGTGGCACTATTCACAATAGCAAAAACTTGGAACTAACCCAAAAGTTCATCAATGATAGACTGGATAAAGAAAATGTGGCACATATACACCATGGAATACTATGCAGGCATAAAAAAGGATGAGTTCATGTCCTTTGCAGGAACATGGATGAAGCTGGAAATCATCATTCTTAGCAAACGAATACAAGAACAGAAAACCAAAAACTGCATGTTCTCACTCATAAGTGGGAGTTGAACAATGAGAACACTTGGACACAGGGAGGGGAACATCACACATCGGGGCCTGTCGGGGGGTTGGGGGCTAAAGAAGGGATAGCACTAGGAGAAATACCTAATGTAGATGAGGGGTTGATGGGTGCAGCAAACAACCATGGCACGTGTGTATAGCTATGTAACAAAACTGCACATTCTTCACATGTACCCCAGAACTTCAAGTATAATAAAAATAAAAATAATCACAAAATCCTGCCCCCAATCCAAGGCCACAATTTAATTAAAGCCTATAAAACAGGACAAACAAAAAAATCACTCTGTTTACTTCACTCCACAACTTGTATGTGTGGCTTACAATGCATTTACTTTAATATCAGTCTTGATAAACTCTGGAGCAGAAAGCCAGGGGTAACCCACCTAATCCTTTCATGAAATGTCTCCAACATGGCCTCGAGTGTGTGGGATCTTTCTCAAGCCACCATGCTTGAGTGCCATTTGCTGATGGCCCTTCCCCATGAGTGAAGAAGCTGTGTCACTAGTTGAACACTAGGTACGAGAGAGCATGAGAATCATGCTTGCAGCTGTAGTTAGCTGGGGGGCTGGTGGAGGGCACTGCTCCATGATTGTATATTCTGAGTTCTCCCATTTTAATGATAACTGTGTATGTTTTCTATCTTTGAAGATACTTGCATGTTTACATATCAGAATCCCAAGGCTGAGAAATAAAAATTTTAAAAATTAAAATAATAATAAGAAGAATAGCCAAGCACAGTGGCTCACGCCTGTAATCCCAACACTTTGGGAGGCCGAGTCGGGCAGATCACGAGGTCAGGGGATCGAGACCATCCTGGCTAACACGGTGAAACCCCATCTCTCCTAAAAATACAAAAAATCAGCTGGGTGTGGTGGCGGGCACCTGTAGTTCCAGCTACTCAGGAGGCTGAGGCAGGAGAATGGCGTGAACCTGGGAGGCAGAGCTTGCAGTGAGCAGAGATAGCGCCACTGCACTCCAGTCTGGGTGACAGAGCGAGACTCCATCTCAAAAATAAATAAATAAACAGATAAATAAATAAATAAATAAAAATTACCCATCATTAACAGCCTGATTTTGGCAAATTTAAGTGCCCTGGTCCCAAGACAATCTTAATAACTCTAAGATCTTAAAAGATTGAACTCTATTTTTCAATATCCTTAGGAAGAAGAGAGAGAAAGAAAATCATTATAGACAATAAAGAATACAACCTAAATACTATTTGTTTTGTTTTTTTTCTTTTTTGAGATGGAGTCTTGCTCTGTCACCCAGGCTGGAGTGCAGTAGCATGATCTCGGTTCATTCCAACCCCTGCCTCCTGGGTTCAAGTGATTCTCTTGCCTGAGCCTCCTGAGTAGCTAAAATTACAGGTGCCCGCCACCATGCCTGGCTAACTTTTGTACTTTTCAGTAGAGTCAGGGTTTCACCATGTTGGCCAGGCTGGTCTCAAACTCCTAACTTCAAGTGATGCACCCATCTCTGCCTTCCAAAGGGCTGCGATTACAGGCATGAGCCACTGCGCCCGGCCTGCAAATACTATTTGGAAGCAGCCTTTTGCTATGAACTGTTCATGACTGTAATAACCCTCCTCCATTGGCTGCTGCAAACTGGCACATTTCAGGCTAAACTTTCATCTACACTGAAACAACAAGATCAATGTTCTTTACCCCTTCAACCTCGTGAGCAAGATATATATATATATATAAAAACTCTGCACATAGAATTCATGAATTGGGAAATAAAAAAAGTAAGCAGAGGCCAGTTTAGATTACAAGAAGCATAACAACCAAAGTTAGCACGTGAAGATTTTTTGGATCCAGATTTAAAGCAAAATTTTTCAGATAATGAGAAAATGAGATACCGTCCAGGTAAGAGTGAGAAACTTGGCTGGGTGTAGTGGCTCATGCCTGTAATCCCAGCACTTTGGGAGGCCGAGGTGGCAGGATCACCTGAGGTCAGGAGTTCAAGACCAGCCTGGCCAATATGGCAAAACCCCATCTCTACTAAAAATACAAAAATTAGCCGGGTGTGGTGGCATGTGCCTGTAATCCCAGCTACTCAGGAAGCTGAGGCAGGAGAATCACTGGAGCACAGGGGGCAGGGGCTGCAGTGAGCCGAGATTACGCCATTGTACTCCAGCCTGGGCGACAGGACAAGACTCTGTCTCAAAAAAAAAAAAAAAAAAAAGAAAAGAAAAGAGTGAGGAAACTCAACTAAGGGCTGCATATGAGCTGACAACAAAAAAATCGTTGTTAATTTTGTCAGATGTGATGAGATACTGGCTGTGTAGGAATATGTAAATGTTGTTCGGGGATGCACACTGAACAGATAAAATGATGTGATGACTGATGTGCTTTACAATATTCCTGCAAAGGGAGGTAAAGGAATAGAACAAAATGTGGGACAATCTTAAAGATCACAGAAATTGAGGAATGGGTATTTTAGTGGTCATTGTACTATTTTCTCTACTTTTGAATAGGTATAAAAATTGTGATTTAAAAATGTAAAATAAAACAGCCAGGCGCAGTGACTCATACCTGTAATCCCAGCACTTTGGGAGGCCGAGGCAGGTGGATCACATGAGTCAGGATTTCGAGACCAGCCTGGTCAACATGGTGAAAGCCTGTCTCTACCAAAAATACAATAAACAAACAAACAAAAATCAGCCGGGTATTGTGGCAGGCACCTGTAATCCCAGCTACTCAGGAGGCTGAGGCAAGAGAATCCACGAGGCGGAGGCTGAAGTGAGCTGAGATTTTGCCACTGCACTCCAGCCTGGGTGACAGAGTGAGAATCCACCTCAGAAAATAAAAAAAGTAAAAATGAATTGACTAATCCCTGCTCTGAAGCCACATCCAAACAGAACTCTAAAAAAAAGATTCAAGCAATTTACATGGTGCTGCTTATATGCACATCTCCCTCGCATCTCTGTATGTAACATTTAAATATTTTGCAACATGATGGGTGGGAGTGGCTCAAAGCTGGACATGCTGGCATGTGCCTATAGCCCCAGCTACTTGGAGACTGAGGCAGGAGGATAACGTGAGCATAGGAGTTCTAGTCCAGCCCAGAGAACATAAGAAGACCCTGTTTCTTTTTTTTTTTTTTTTTTAAGATGCAGTTTCACTCTTGTTGCCCAGGCTGGAGTGTAATGGTGTGATCTCGGCTCACTGCAACCTCTGGCTGCTGGGCTCAAGCAGTTCTGCTGCCTCAGCCTCCAGAGTAGCTGGGATTACAGGCAAACACCACCACACCCAGCTAATTTTGTATTTTTAGTAGTGATGGGGTTTCTCCATGTTGGTCAGGCTGGTCTCAAACTCCTGACCTCAGGTGAACTGCCTTCCAAAATGCCGGGATTACAGGCATGGGCCACCGCACCCGGCCAACCCTGTTTCTTTAAAAAGAAAGGTCAGGGAGCTGTCAGGGAGCTCGTTGATGAATTATTTTGGCGATAGCAACAATTGCTATCAAAACACCACTATAAAATCCAAAATTATATCTATTGCCAGATCTTTCTCCTTACTTCCAAACTCATTTATCCAACTGTCTCCTCCACCTCCACACCTCAACTTAAATGTCAACTCAAAATAAATAAATTAATAATTACTTTATTTGTTCCTAGACTGGCTTTCCTCTAACATCTCAAGACTTGTCTTAAATTCTTACTTAATGTTATTAGCACCAAATCTGAAAGACTCTAGTATACAGACTCTTTGATATAAGAAACACATGTTTTTGAGAAACCACACAAAATGAAATAATTATCATAGCTGTAAAAACAAATATGCCCATAAACAAATAACAGTAAAGGATTAGAGGCTTTCAGTCACACTAGAGAGTGATGTTAAATAAAATTATCCTGTTAATTCAGCAAGAAAATATATAAACCTAATTCTAACAAACTTTCTATAAAATAAAAAAGAACCAATTGTTGAAGTTGAGAGTGAAAAAAGTGGAAGTTTCAGAAAGAGGTGAGACCAACTGCAGAATGTGCTCCTCACTTATCATCAAGGCTGCCCCAGTCACACCCCCTGCCTCCCCATCCCCTTATTCTACCTAATTCTATCCCAGACCTTAACACCTTATGTAGTAAATATCTCCTACTTACTACACCTTTCCCCACCAGATTGAATGCTCCAGAATGTATGGGGTAGTTCCCCCCACACCTGACTCACAGGTGCCAAATGACTGCAGGATTATGAGGCTGGAAGTAGTAAATATTTCTTCAATACTTGCAGTGGTTCACAGCCATGAAAAATCGAAGATTTCCTCTCTCCCTTTCAGGAACCTTAAAGAAAGCAGCAATACTGTCATAGGCATTTAAATGAGAGCAACTTGATTTTAAATAGGAGCTGGGTAAAATGAGGCTGAGACCTACTGAGCTACATTCCCAGATGGTTAAGGCTTTCTAAGTCACAGGGTGACGGAGGAGGTCAGCACAATATACAGGTCATAAAGACCTTGCTGATAAAATGAGTTGCAGTAAAAAAGCCAGCCAAAACCAAGATAATGACGAGAGTGACCTCTGGTCATCCTCACTGCTACACTCCCACCAATGCCATGGCAGTTTACAAATGCCATGGCAACATCAGGAAGTTATTCTCTGTGGTCTAAAAGGTGAAGCATAAAAATAATCCACTCCTGGCAGAGTTCGGTGGCTCTCACCTGTAATCTCGGCACTCTGGAAGGCCAAGGCGGGTGGATCACCTGAGGTCAGGAGCTTAAGACCAGCCTGGCCAACATGGTGAAACCCCATCACTACAAAAAATACAAAAAAAAAAATTAGTTGGGTGTAGTGGTACATGCCTGTGATCCCAGCTATTCAGGAGGCTGACACAGGAGAATCGCTTGAACCCAGGAGGTAGAGGTTGCAGTGAGCCCAGATCGCACCATTGCACTCCAGCCTGGAAAAAAAAAATAAAAAAAAAAATAAATAAAACAGTATGAGAGCCTGGGCGTGGTGGTTCATGCCTATAATCCCAGCAGGTTGGGAGGCTGAGGTGGGTGGATCACCTGAGGTCAGGAGTTCGAGACCAGCCTGACCAACATGGTGAAACCCCATCTCTATTAAAAATACAAAAATTAGCTGGGCATGGTGGCAGGTGCCAGTAATCCCACCTACTTGGGGGCTGAGGCAGGACAATAGCTTGAACCTGGGAGGTGGAGGTTGCAGTGATCCAAGACCATGCCACTGCACTCCAGCCTGGGTAACATGAGCGAAACTCTGTCTCAAAAACAAAACAGTAAGAGAAAACTGGAGCTGAGTCCTACTCATTGTATTTACTTTCCTAAATAAAACATCATTATAAAATACATTACTCAGTAATATAATTTAATTGAAGGGGAAAAAAACAGACTTACCAAATTTTTTTGCAAAAAGCTGATCTACCATCTTTCATAATTTAGTGATTCTGGTATACCATACTTCCTTCACTATCGAAATCACAGGAATACAAGTTTTCTCAATCTAATGGGTTTAATAACTTAGGTTATTAAATATTATTATTATAAAATGGCAGTATTTTTCTTTCCTGTGACTAATTTTTTTTTTTGAGATGGAGTCTCGCTCTGTCACCCAGGCTGGAGTGCAGTGGCACAATCTCGGCTCACTGCAAGCTCCGCCTCCTGGGCTCATGCCATTCTCCTGCCTCAGTCTCCCGAGTAGCTGGGACTACACGCACCCGGCTAATTTTTTGTATTTTTAGTAGAGACAGGGTTTCACCATGTTAGCTAGGATGGTCTCGATCTCCTGACTTCGTGCTCCACCCACCTCAGCCTCCCAAAGTGCTGGGATTACAGGCGTGAGCCACTGCACCTGGCACCATGACTAATATTATTTCTAAGATCCAGATTGTATTTATTACTGAAACAATGCTGACATACACTGCACAAAAAAAGAAAGAACCAGACATTCTTTAAAGCTAGGAAAAAGCAGAACTGTGTGCTCAAGAACCACTAGCAGACAGGATAGGCTGTCTCATGCCTGTAATCCCAGTACTTTGGGAGGCCAAGGCGGGCAGATCACCTGAGGTCAGCAGTTCCAGACCAGCCTGGCCAACACGGTGAAACCCAAACTCTACTGCAAATAAAAAAATTAGGCAGGCATGGTGGCAGGTGCCTGTAATCCCAGCTACTTGGGAGGCTGAGGCAGGAAGAATTGCTTGAACCCAGGAGGTGGAGCTTGCAGTGAGCTGAGATCATACCACTGCACTCCAGCATGGGCAACAGAGGAAAGCGCCATCTCAAAAAAAAAAAAAAAAAAAAAAAAAAAAAGAGCAGTGAACAGCTAGCAGGTGCCATTTGCTATGGGGAGACTAGGGATATGATCTTGCTGGCAATCCTTCCATTTTAGTAAATCTAAACAGTGTGATTCCATTCTTTTTTGTCTGCACTCCACTCCAGAACCAAAACAAGTAAGAAAATCAATTATATTTCTATTTCTTTCAAAACACATCTAACAATTAAGAGATGATATGCATGGCTCCATACTCTAAAAGGAACCTTCTTATGTCCTGGGTATCGTGGACATTTGATGAATGCTTGTTCAGTTGACTAGTGTAGACTTCAATAATAAACTGTTCAATGCATTATGCCAGATAAATCTTGCATCTCAAAAGTAGGACAAATATTGTGCTTTTAGTTATGTCTAACCATAAATGCAACATTTACATGTATTTATAAGGGGTTAATAAAAAGAAAATGAGTTTATTGTTCTAAAGAGTATTAGAATTTTGACAACATGAATTCTCCTGTCCTGGAACATAATTAAAAGTAAGAGGGATCTTATTTCATGTGAAAGCTACCATTAAAAAAATCATTGTTAAGCATTAAATAATTATTTCACATAATCTTCTAATCTGACTTAAGACTGAAGACCTACCTCCTGAAGCTGGTTTATCAAGTTGTAAGTCTTCATGTGTTGAATTCATAAGTTCATGTCTGAAAGGTGAGAATAAATACTTAATATTCACTAGGCAATATTCAGCAAAGTAATATTCACTGGTGCATATTTTACATTTCATCACCAAGGGTGGCTTTGAAAAGAAAAGAAAGGCTGGCCATGGTGGCTCATGGCTGTAATCCCAACACTTTGGAAGGCTGAGGCAGACAGATCACGAAGTCAGGAGTTCAAGACCAGCCTGGCCAACATGGTGAAACCCCATCTCTACTAAACATAGAAAAATTAGCCAGGCGTTGTGGCAAGTGCCTGTCATCCCAGCTGCTCAGGAGGCTGAGCTAGGAGAATCGCTTGAACTTGGGAGGCAGAGATTGCAGTGAGCCAGGATCACACTCCAGCATGGGCGACAAGAGCAAAACTCCAGCTGAAAAAAAACAAAAGAAATATCCCATTACTTTAAGGCAATGTAGATACAGCCAGAATTTCTACAGAAATCTGAACCACATTATAAAGCCAGAAAAACATACAAGCTAATATTATTTAATACAGATAGTACTCTATGGAAGAGGTAATTTTTTTTTTTTTTTTGAGATGGAGTCTCGCTCTGTCACCCAGGATGGAGTGCAGTGGCAGGATCTCAGTTCACTGCAACCATCGCCTCCTGGGTCCAAGCAATTCTCCTGTCTCAGCCTCCCGAGTAGCTGGGACTACAGCACTTGCCACCATGCCCTACTAATTTTTGTATTTTTGTAGAGACGGGGTTTCACCATATTGGTCAGGCTGGTCTTGAACTCCTGACCTCAGGAGATCCGTCCACCTTGGCCTCCCAAAGTGCTGGGATTACAGGCATGAGACACCATGCCTGGCCGGAAAAGGTAATATTTTCCAAACATAAACATTAGCATAACCTTATTGGACTTATAAAAATAATTTTTTTAGTAACAGAAGCAGAAGATTCTCCTGAACTGTACCATTTCAGCTAACATTTATTTACTTAAGATGAAAATAATATAACAGCTATAAAAAGTTAAAAGGTAGCCAGGTGCAGTGGCTCATGCCTGTAACCCAAACACTTTGGGAGGCCGAGGCAGGTGAACCACCTGAGGTCAGGAGTTTGAGACTGGCCTGGCCAACAAGGTGAAACCCCATCTCTACTAAAAATACAAAAATTAGCCAGGCATGGTGGCAATCGCCTGTAGTCCCAGCTACTAGGGAGGCTGTGGTGGGAGGATCACATGAACCTGAGTGGTGGAGGTTGCAGTGAGCTATGATCACACCACTGCACTCCAGCCTGGGTGACAGAGCAAGACTCTGTTTCAAAGAAAAAAAAGAAAAAGTCAAGAGCATGGGGAGTATTAAAATCAGACAGAACCAATGGTCTATCATCAGAACAGCTCCATTTTTTTGTTAACATTATGTGTTAAGGTCAATTTGCTAAACATTAATATTTGTACTAAAGTTTTACATGTACCATATAACACATTAGTGCTGACTTAGGTTTAATGTCCTTTGCTGTACAATATACTTGAATATCATACTTATATATCACAACAAAAGTATCTTTCCCTAAGGCAATTACCATTAATACTGCTTTAAAGTTATAAAATGTGGGCTGAGGGGTGGCTCACACCTGTAATCCCAGCACTTTAGGAGTCCAAGGCAGGCAGATCACGAGGTCAAGAGATCAAAACCATCCTGGCCAACATGGTGAAACCCTGTCTCTACTGAAGGACAAAAATTACCTGGGCAGGGTGATGCACACCTGTAGTCCCAGCTACTTGGGAGGCTGAGGCAGGAGAATCTCTTGAATCCGGGAGGCAGAGGTTGTGGTGAGCCGAGATTGCAACTCCAGCAACAAGTGTGAAACTTTGTCTCAAAAAAAAAAATTATGAAATGTGAAGATTGTTTTTATAATTTTACAACACCTGAGCATTACTGTCTTTAAATAATCTAATAAATCACCATCACAACAAAAGCCTCACAAGCTAATCTGTTTCACCTTATAAAAAGTACCGACATTTAGTGCGCAATAATTTGTTGCAGCAGCCACGGGAAACTAGTATCGTAGTAAAGCCTCAAAACCCACATGAAGGGGCTGGGCATGGTGGCTCATGCCTGTAATCCCAGCACTTTGGGAGGCCAAGGTGGGTGGATCACTTGAGGTCAGGAATTTGAGACCAGCCTTGCCAACATGGTGAAACCCCATTTCTAAAAAAAATACAAAAATTAGCCAGGCGTGGTGGCACATGCCTATAATCTCAGCTACTCAGGAGGCTGAGACATGGGAACTGTTTGAACCCAGGGTGGGGCGGAGGTTGCAATGAGCCAAGATTGTGCCACTGCACCCCACCCTGGGTGACAGAGCAAGGCTCCAGCTCAACAACAACAACAACAAAAAACCCCACCTGAAGAAGGTTTCCAGTTCTGTCAACAGTGCCCCACCAAACCCCTTAGAAGCACACATTCCTTTGCTGTGGGCCATGGACAAGAAGAAGGAAGCGCCTCCTCATGGCAGGGGCCTACACAGGAGAAACTCAAGGGAAGGCACGCCAGGCCGGTCCTTCTGCCAAGGCCATTTTCTTTTCTTTTCTTTTTTTTGAGACACAGTTTCACTCTGTCTCCCAGACTGGAGTGCAGTGACACAATCTTGGCTGACTTCGACCTCTGCCTCCCCAGTTCAAGTGATTCTCCTGCCTCAGCCTCCTGAGTAGCAGGGATTACAGGAGCATAGCATGCCTAGCTAATTTTTGTATTTTTAGTAGAGATGGGATTCTGCCATGTTCCCCAGGCTGGGCTCAAACTCCTCGCCTCAAGTGATCCACCTATCTCAGCCTCCCAAAGTGCTGAGGAGTGAGCCACCGCACCCAGCACTCACCATGGCCTTTGATGGCAGGCTTTTTCCAGGTGAGCACTCTTGTCTGGTCTGGCTCTCCCCCACTCTCCCTCTCACCAAGTTGGAATCCCTCACTACTTTTCAGTAGAGGAGAGTGTGTACCCCAGTCTCAGCTTGGTATGATTCAGGTCTGCATTGAACTCATGAAACCTGGCTGATCCTCAAGCCCTGGAGAAAAAAAAAGTGTCTCTCTGCAGGTATGATATGGGATGGGCCTGTCCCCAGGACCCTGGGAGAGGGAAGCCCAATGTCCCACCAGGTTGGCAGTGCTGGGGAAGGGAAAGTGTTATGGTAGCCCCAAGACTAAAAAGAGGCAGCAGAGGGAGCAGGGCATCACTCCTATTGAACTCATGCCGCTGCCTGAGTGAGGTGAGGGAGGAGTGCACCCGAGTGACGTGAGGCAGAGAGGTGCGGTTCCAGGATGGCCTTCACCCTCCCTTCCTGCCATGTTACTCTGATCCCCTGCAGGTGAGCCTGCCCACTTTGGGCTTAGGGATGCCGCTGAGGCGTGTACTCAAACGCAGCTTCCCATGCATCATGTCTCCAGGAGTGGGGCAGAGCAGGGAGGAGTCCTAGACAGAGGAGAGGCCAGGGCAGGAGGGAGTGGGCCTCAAACTCCAGGACGGGGCCCTTCTCATGGGTCCTCTTTTCCGGTCTCTCCTTCCTTACCCCTGGGCAGATCACCTGGGGAAGAACTGAGGCAAGGTTTCTCATCCTCAGGTCAGAGGGGTTCAATTACCAGGCCCAAGTAGCTGGGATTACAGGCAAGCACCACCATGCCTGGTTAATTTTGTATTTTTAGTAGACACAGGGTTTCACCATGTTGCCCAGGCTGGTCTCGAACTCCTGACCTCAGTTGATCCACCCACCTCTCCCTCCCAAAGTGCTGGGATTACAGGTGTAAGCCACCAAGACCGGTCAAGAAATCCTTTTTCAAAAACGAGCTGGGCTCAGTGGCTCATGCCGAAAATCCCAGCAATTTGGGAGGCCGAGGTGGGTGGATCACTTGAGGTCAGGAGTTTGAGACCAGCCTGGGCAACATGATGTAACCCCGTGTCTACTAAAAATATATATATATATATAAATTAGCCGGGTGTGGTGTTGGCCACCTGTAATCCCATCTTTTCAGGAGGCTGAGGCAGGAGAATCACTTGAACCTGGGAGACGGAGGTTGCAGTGAGCCGAGATCATGCCACTGCAATGCAGCCTGGGTGACAACAGTGAGACTCCATCGCAAAAACAAAAACAAAAACAGATTCCATCTCAAAAAAATAAATAAATAAAAATAAATAAAACAAAAAACAAATGTGGTATGGCAATGAAAATACTGTGTTAAAGTTTCATAGAAAATAAAAGACCACTCAGATACAATAAGCTGTCTTTTTAGATGAGTATATTTGTTATTCTTATTTTATAGCTAAGAAACCGGTTAGAAGAATGCTATTTGATTGGACCATGTTGCATTTCTGGACAGTGCAGCTGAGATCATACTTCATGTGTAACTCCACTAGCCTACCAGGGTGCCTCTCATAAAGGTAAGAAATGTAAATTTGGCCTAATATACAGTTTCCAGGGCAGCACTGGGTCAATTCTACATGCAGTACTTCTATGTTCATCAAGGGAAACCTTAAGGAAAGGTGAAAATGCTTCTAGAAGGCAACTGGACACCAGTGCCCTTGTTTGTTGCCTTTGGGCTCTTCCTCTAAGGCCAATAGTGACCTGAAATTACTAACTATTCCAATCAAGTGGACAAAATGGTACCAAGGTCGTCAACATCAGACAAATTCACTTGAGGACCTATGTGCTTTGAAAGACAAAACTGCTTTTGTAAAGGATACTGTATTTCAGAAAAACATAATCATATTACAACTAATAACACTGTAAAATGCTGATGTGTTGAATGCTACTTTAGAAAAACATGTTCAAATCTAGGAAAAAAATTTCTCATAGAAAACTACATATCGGCTGGGCGAGGTGGCTCATGCCTGTAATCCCAGCACTTTGGGAGGCTGAGGCGGGCATATCACGAGGTCAGGAGCTCAAGATCAGCCTGACCAACATGGTGAAACCCCATCTCTACTAAAGATACAAAAAGTTAGCCAGACGTGGTGGTGTGTGCCTATAATTCCCAGCTACTCAGGAGGCTGAGGCAGGAGAATCGCTTGAACCCAGGAGGCAGAGGTTGCAGTGAGCCAAGATCACACCACTGCACCCCGGCCTACGTGACAGAACAAGACTCTGTCTCAAAAAAAGAAAGAAAGAAAGAAAGAAAACTACGTGTCAATTATCTAGCTAGCTAGCTAACTATCTAGAGACAGGCTTTCATTCTATTGCTCAGGATGGAGAGCAGTGGGATGATCATAGCTCACTGCAGCCTTGAGCTCCTGGCCTCAAGTGATCCTCCTGCCTCAGCCTCTTAAGTAGCTAGGGCCACAGGTGGACACATTTACACCTCGGTTTTTTGTTTGTTTTATAGAGATAGGGTTTCACTACATTGCCCAGGTTGGTGTCAAACTGGAGTCTCACTGTGTCGCCCAGGCTGGGGTGCAGTGGTGCGATCTCGGCTCACTGCAACCTCTGCCTCCTGGGTTCAAGCGATTCTCCTGTATCAGCCTCCCGAGGAGCTGGGACTTCAGGCATGCACCACCACATACGGCTAATTTTTGTATTTTTTGTAGAGACTGGGTTTCACCATGGCCAGGCTAGTCTCGAACTCCTGACCTCAGGTGATCCACCCGCCTCGGCCTCCCAAAGTGCTGGGATTACAGGTGTCAGCCAGCAAGCCTGGATGAGCACTTTATGTTATTAAATAGCCTAATCCAAGCAGGGCGCGGTCCCTCACGCCTGTAATCCCGACAACTCTGATGGCCAAGGTGAGAAGATCGCTTAAACCCAGTTGTTCGAAACCGGCCTGGGCAACATAGCGAGACCCCCATCTCTACAAAAGGTACAAAAATTTGGCCAGGTGCGCACCGCGCCTGGCTAATTTTTGTACCTTTTGTAGAGACCGGGTTTCATCATGTTGCCCAGGCTGGTCTCAAACTCCTGAGCCCAAGCCATCCATCCTCCCGCCTCGGCCTCCCAAAACGCTGGGATTACAGGGCCCAGCCAGCCTCATGTTTTTTTTAAGCAGTCCCTCCCCTTGCACACTTGGATAGTTTTTTTTTATTATTATTATTTTAGACAGGGTTTACCTCAGTCTGGCAGGCTGCAATGCTGTGGTGGGATCATAGCTCACTGGAGCCTTCAACCTTGGGGTTCAAGTAGCTGGGGGTTGAGGTAGGACTACAGAGATCCGGTCGCGCCATATTGCTAGGTTGCTCTTGGCCTGAAGGGATCCTCCAGCCTCGGCTGCGCCCGGACATAGTTTTCCAGTTTTGACCGATATAAACACTGTGCTTGGTCTGAGTTTTCAACTACCCTTCTCCAGCTAGCAACACACAGGACCTGGCGGGGAGGTCGTGGTTACCAGGCTCCACTCTGATGATAAGACTGCCCAGCTACAAGCACCGTGCAGCCCCAGTAACGTCGCCGAACGCCCTCGCCTGTGACGTCGCCGAAGGCCCACCTCTATGGCGTCGCCGAGGAACGTCTCTCACGCGGAGCCAATCGGAACTCGCGGAGGGGCTGCTGGGGCTTCCAGGAGGGCGCATGTGCGGATGACTGGCCGCAGGCGGCCGGGCGGGCTGTAACCCGCCGCTGAACTAGCGCTTCTGTGTCCAGAGGCTTCGGCCTGGCCGCCGTCGCCTGTAAGCTACGAGGAGGAGATTTACGACTTGGCCGGGCGCAGCAAAGGCCAGACTCTGCGCGAACAGGCGCTGCGCACCAACCGGCAGGCACCTGGCGGGCACCATCGCACGGTGGCGCAGAAGCCCCTCAATGGCCAGCGCCAGCTGCAGCCGCGGCCGCGCAGTCGTCCCACCTGAGCTTGGGTACGTGCGCCCCACAACACCTCCCCCAGCCAGGGCCCGGGGACCCCCGGGAGCGTCCCCCCGCTACCTGGCGCCACTCATCCTGGGCGGGGTCGGTCCCCTCTCAGGCTGCCTCTCATTAGGGAGCTGCACCCCCGAGCTTGACCTCTGAAGGCCCTTTGCGATAGCATTAAGCCTTTGAAACTTTGTAGCGGGTTAGAAGGGGCTAGGAAACGAAGAAAACATCTTTTTAAAAATATAAGCAATCGGCCGGGAGCGGTGGCCCACGCCTGTAATCCCAGCGCTTTGGTAGGCCGAGGCGGGTGGATCACGAGGTCAGGAGTTCAAGACCAGCCTGGCCAGCATGGTGAAACCCCGTCTCTACTAAAAACACAAAAATTAGCCGGGCGTGGTGGCGGGCGCCTGTAATCCCAGCTACTCGGGAGGCTGAGGCAGAGAATTGTTTGAACCCGGGAGGCGGAGGTTGCAGTGGGCCGAGATCGCGCCACTGCACTCCAGCCTGTTGGACAGACTGAGATAACGTCTAAACAAACAAATATATGTATGTATTTATATATATGGAATCCAGCCCGGGAGGTTGAGATTACAGTGAGCAGAGATTATATAAGCGATCAAGCACGGGAGGTTGAGGTTACAGTGAGCCGAAATTGTGCCATTGCACTCCAGTCTGTGTGACAGAGGGAGACTCTGTCTCTAAAAAATTATATGTGAGAGCTTTTCTTCCAGCGCTCATGCTCAGATTGAAGAAAGTAATTGGGCCAGGACTGGTGACTCACGCCTGTAATCCCAGCACTTTGAGGGGCCGAGGCCGGCGGATCGCTTGAGCTCAGGAGTTCCAGACTAGCTTGGGCAACATGGTGAAACCCTGTCTCTACAAAAATACAAACAATTAGCTGGGCATGGTGGCAAGCGCTTGTAGTCCCTGCTGCTTGCGGGACTGAGGCGGGAGGATCTCTTGAGCCTCAATCCTCGCTGCAGCCTCCACCTCCTGGGCTCAGGCAATCCATTTCAGCCTCCCAAAGTGCTGGGATTACAGGAACGAGCCATCGTGCCTGGCCTTATGCTATATTTTAATGCTTTTTTTGAAAATGGAAACTTTTACAGGCAATTCACTTCTTCATACTAATGATAAGGAAATGATGCTGTTCTGTCCTGTTATGTGTTTTGTTTGTGTGTATGTGTGTGTGTGTTTTTCTTGAGACAGGGCCTTGCTCTATTGCCCTGGCTGGAGTGAGGTGGCGCAATCATGGCTCAAGGAATCCTTCCCCGTCAGCCTCCCCAGTAGCTAGGACTGACTACAGGTGCATGCTACCACCCTTGGCTAATTCTTTTTTTGAAATGGAGTATCACTCTGTCTCCTAGGCTGGAGTGCAGTGGTGCAATCTTGGCTCACTGCAGGCTGGTCTCAAACTCCTAACTTCAGATGGTCCACCCACCTCGGCATCCCAAAGTGCTGGGATTACAAGTGTGACCCACTGTGCCTGGTGATTTTGCTCATTTAGATACTAGAACTTCTTAATTTAATTTTGTTTTGTTTTGTTTTCCTGAGATGGAGTCTTGCTTTGTCACCAGGCTGGAGTGCAGTGGCGTGATCTTGGCTCACTGCAACCTCTGCCTCCTGAGTTCAAGCGATTCTCCTGCCTCAGCCTCCCGAGTAGCTGGGACTACAGGTGCGCACCACCACACCCAGGAGTTCAAGGCTGCAGTGAGCCATGATCGTGCCACTGCACTCCAGCCTGGGCAACAGAGAGAGACCCTGACTCCACAAGTAAATAAGTCAACATCATATGATCTGTACCAGGGTACAGGCAGGTGCTATTATCCCCACTTTTCATACTCGACTCTGAGTTGAGTCATACATCAACCTCTAGTAAAAAATGGCATGCTCTCAGTCAAAGGGGCAAGCCCAAACCACGTGGAAAGGATCTTATCTCTCTTGAGAGCTAATATAAAAAGAATTCCTCCTAGATAGAAGCATTGTGACATCAGTTACTTAGGCTAAACATGCCTATTATGCTAAGTGAATTATTAACAGTAAATACTTTGTGCCATGTTAATTATCATAATATGATTTATAATTTGTTTTAACCTTAGGTTATATGTACCTTGAAGCCATTTATATTTTGGTATACTTGTAATGGTTACTATACACTAGACTATGTGTATTGGACTAGACATGGAGAGTCAAAAAAGAGTATGTGATCAGAGTAGAAATCATGCTCTGGCTTCCTTCTTGTCTACCTCCTACCTCAAGTAGAAGCAGTAGAAAAAGTAATTACCTAAGATTTTTTGGATTCTGGTTTGTGGAGAAGCACCCTTATATTTAGGCTGATGGGTGGCTAAATTAGAAAGTATTTTTTGTGATTTAGAATTTTATACGGAGATGTTCATTGTGATTAATTATTCTTTGTATTAGCAGATTTTTGCTTTTTATAGCTGCATGATTTCTTGTTTATTATTCATTGATTATTATCTATTAATAAAGAAAAACTTTATTTCACTAAAACAGTGATATATAATCCAAGTTGGGTTTTTTAATAATGACTGACATTTTTCTTTGGGAATACATTACTGTTAACAATGTAGATTATTAGATACATTATTTTTAATGAATATAAGTGGTGTAATTAGAAGGCTGAAAAGAATCCTTGGAAACATTAGTTTAATTTGATAGCTAAGAAACTGAGGAGAAGATACTTATTCTTTGTAGCATATTTTCTAAAGTCATTTCATTGTCTCACCAAGAAGTACTTGCATAAAGCCAGTTCGATTCTAGCATCTGTTGAATATTTAAGGTTGAGTAAAGTGGGTGAGTTTAACAGATATTTTCCCTTATTTCTTTTAGGCGAATGTGGATTGGGAAAGTCGACATTAATCAACTCATTATTCCTCATAGATTTGTATTCTCCAGAGTATCCAGGTCCTTCTCACAGAATTAAAAAGACTGTACAGGTATGGATATTAGTATTGTTAATTGATGATAAGCTGGAATAATATTAATACACACAAAGCACATGTTGTAACTTTTATTATGCTTCCTTAGAGGTAAGATGCAAACTTGGGCTTAGCCAGTGTAAGATGATAAATATGACTTCATAAAATTTAAAAAAAAAAGAAGTACAGTTAATCAGAAGAATTATCTTTACTAGAACTTTCCAAATTTGTCCTAAGGACTCTCCTAGAGATGGCACTGTGACATAGTAACCAGTTCCCCTGGAGTTGTGCTGTCTAGTATGATAGTCATTTGCCATGTGTATAAATCAATTAAAATTAATTAAATTAAAAATGCAATTTCTTGTTTGCTCCAGATACATTTCAAGTGCTCAACAGCCACATGTGGCAAGTGGCTGCCATTTTGTGCAGCACATATATGAAGATTTTCATCATTGCAGGAAATTGCATTGGATGATGTAGAGAAAACATGATTTTTAGAAAAGCTATTGTTATTTAAATACAGTGTTCTATATTAGTCAGTGGGATAATACCATATCATAGTTGAATGGCAATTGCAATTCTGTAAGACTCCCAAGTTATATGTGATCTAATTTACTGCTTCTCAGTCTTTGCTATGCATTCCAATCCTAGGTATCCTGTGAAATTTAGTTCTTCTAGTAGGTCTGAGATGGGCTGTATTTCTACATTTCTAACAAGATTCCAGGTGATACTGATGCTGCTGGTTGGGGTAGATCACACTTTATAGAGCAAGGGACTAGACTCTAGATGTGCACTTCTTATTAAATGGTACAGCAGCCTGTAGTCACTTCTCATCTTAGCAAAGGTCACCGAACTTCAAGTAACATGACTTGGGTCTGTATACGAACTTTGCCACTTATTTGATAAAGTTGTTTAACTTCTTTAAACCCATTTACTTTTCTATAAAATGGAGATAATACCTATCATAAAATTGTTTTTAAGACGTACTCTAAAATAATGTAGCTAGATAGAAGAATTCTCATTATTGTAAGAAATTTAAAACTGTTTGCTTTAATTTTATCCATTTGTATAAATTCTATCTCAATCCTAATTTAAACCTGATATTTAGACCTTCAGTTTTTCCGTAAGTCCTAAGTGAAGAAAACAACTATGAAATTTTAGTCTGAAGTAATTATCTTAGTATTTTATAAATAATACTTTTATTTTTGTTTGAATTCACATTGTTTTTGAGGTATTTTTCTGTCAACTCTTAAAACTCCTAAGTTCATCATGAAGTTTTTATATTATTTAAAGTAATCTCTCATTTGAAATTTAAGACTGAATATAATTGTTTTCATATTATGAAGTGTGTTATTAGTGCAAATAATATGCTAATAATTTAGCTGTGTTTCGACAATAGTTTATTTTCTTTCATTTGAAACGTTTTGAAATAATGAATAAAGATTTATTCAACATAATTTATATTTTTGAATCTTTATATAGACTAACTGGACATGTCTTCCACTGGTAAATTCATTTTGCCTATTTGAAAATATTGATTATTGTCCGTTAACAGTCATCAGTTAATTCATATGTAGAATTGCAACTTAATTGTTTATTTGCATTCTATAGCTGGCAGCCTGTTATCGATTACATTGATAGTAAATTTGAGGACTACCTAAATGCAGAATCATGCGTGAACAGACATCAGATGCCTGATAACAGGGTGCAGTGTTGTTCATACTTCATTGCTCCTTCAGGACATGGGTCAGTACCTTGATACTTCTGATTCCTTTTTGTTGTTGTTGCTTACTGTTATCTGTATGTGCATATTTTAGTAATCTTGAAGTTTGTGAAGTACATACAACTATCCCATTATGAAGTACCAAATTTCATGTAGAAATGTCTTAGTTGAAAAGCCTTTTTAAGTCCTGTATAAGCTAAGTGATTTTACTCCTTAGTTCTTTATTCATAAGGATTTTCCCTGCTTCATGGAAATAAACAGTGTTGCCACCATGGTTTGAGGTCTCAATGTAGCAAATTTAGCTTTCATGTTGACCACTCTGCTACTAATTGAACTACCAAATGAAGACAAGCAGCCATACCAGTTAGATATATTCAAAATCAAAGATGCTATTTATTATAAGTCTCATAAGAGATGGTTATCAAAAGCACTTGCATGCCAATGTTTTCTTGTGCCATTTCTTTCTGCAATAAATCTATTTGGCTTCTGTTTCACCTTAGCTGTCATAGACATGTCGTTTAGGTATCATATTGTCATTACTAACTTTTTGTTTATTAAGGCATAAGACCTAAGAAACTAGACATTAATCTGATGTGATTGTTCTGTTATAGTTAGCCTGTACTCCCTTTTTTTGTTGTTTGTACTTCCCCTTTATTTTGAGTACATATATGTGTCATTGACAACTGCAGATTTTTGCAATTATTATTCCTCAGTCTTTTCCTTTGGGTAAGTAACTCAGCATACATAATTCAGCCACCTGATAATTGTAACTCCACCATCTCTCCACTGAAAGAACTGTAATATCATCAGGCTAAACAGCATTAAGTTATCTAATGCTCACATTACAGTAGTAGTGTAAACCAATTCCTTCAAGTATACCTTTCTCTTCAATTTTTGGCTTCTCACTCTCTCTTTTTTTTTTTTTTTAATGGATGGGTCAATGCCCATTATCACTCTAGATAGATAAGGCAGCCTTAATTATATACTTATATTTTTGCACTGTCAGATTGGAGTGGGGTAAAAATGTTTCTTCTTTTATGTCTAATACTCTTTTTTTATTTTTATTTTATTTTTTTGCTGTGCCCTAGACCATTACATAACTGAAGACTCCAACCTTCAGGCAGGATTGTGTAGTACATGTTTGTAACTACTTCACATTGCCTTTTGTTGAGGAAATTTCAGTTTTTATTATTGTTATACTTTAAGTTTTAGGGTACATGTGCACAACGTGCAGGTTGGTTACATATGTATACATGTGCCATGTTGGTTTGCTGCTCCCATTAACTCGTCATTTACATTAGGTATTTCTCCTAATGCTATCCCTCCCCCATCCCCCCCACCCCATGACAGGCCCCGATGTGTGATGTTCCCCACCCTCTGTCGAAGTGTTCTCATTGTTCAATTCCCACCTATGAGTGAGAACATGTGGTGTTTGGTTTTCTGTCCTTGTGATAGTTTGCTCAGAATGATGGTTTCTAGCTTCATCCATGTCCCTACAAGGGACATCAACTCATCCTTTTTATGGCTGCATAGTATTCCATGGTGTATATATGCTACATTTTCTTAATCCAGTCTATCATTTAACGGTGTTCTCAGTTTACATATTTAAATCACTAAACTGACTCTTTGACTTAAAAGGCTCAAAAAAAGTAATCTCAAAAATACAGCACACTGTATAACCTTTTATGAGTATTTATGTAGCTTCTTGAATTTATGTTTTTAAATCTTTCTCATTTAACTTGTCAGGGCCTTTTCCTGAAAGCCTTCTGAGTGAAATCTTAACCTGCAGTTAAGTCAATAAAATTTGTCAGCTTATAACCAATTTTATTATTTTAGATCTGGACTCTCTCCAAGTTTAGTAATTCTCATGAAATCACATTCCTCCCATCCCTTTGCGGAAAATTTTATTTCTTAAAATTGCATGGGAAATGAGAGCTTTTTTAAAAGAAAAGTTTTTATATTCAAATGATATCTAGTGGCTTTGCACCATTTCTTATTTGTCACAAGGGGTAAGATGTTTAAAATTGCTATATCTTATATATAAAATGTGCCTTTGAATAATTTCTCAGTTTAACTAGTTTTAGAAATGGAGCAAAGTTTTGCCCATTGGTACATGATATTGTGGATTAAGTGAAAGAATATGAGGCCGGGCACTGTGGCTCACGCCTGTAATCCCAGCACTTTGGGAGGCTGAGGCGGGCGGATCACCTGAGGTCGAGAGTTCGAGACCAGACTGACCAACATGGAGAAACCCCGTGTCTACTAAAAATACAAAATTAGCCGGCCGTGGTGGTTCATGTCTGTAATCTGAGCTACTAGGGAGGCTGAGTCAGGACAATCGCTTGAACCTTGGAGGCGGAGGTTACAGTGAGCCGAGATCACACCATTGCACTCTAGCCTGGGCAACAAGAGTGAAACTCCTCCTCCTCAAAAAAAAGAATATGACACAGAATTTTATGTATAGAGTTCCAGATACCCTGGTCCAACAGTGTACTTTCAGTGCCTCCTACCTCCCTCTACAAAGTATGAACTGCATGCATGGCTAATTTATGATTTCAGTTATTATTGCTTCATGTGCGTTGTTCCTTATTTTGTAACTATTATTAAAGTAAAAAACTGACTTGGAACATGAATTTTAAAATAGTGTTTTATCCTTCAAGTATTAATTACCACTTTTAGAAAAACTGGTGTCATCCAGTGAGTTTTATACAGGATTGTTTCCCTTAGAAATACATACATACACACAAAAAAATTTTTTCATTTACCCTGTAGTTTATTATGCTGTAGACTTTGAGGTTAAATAGTCTTTTCTCTCTAGTGTGGGTTTATCTTCTAGAAATGATAAAGGATTTTCTATTGCTTAAAAACAAGATTTACAAACTAAATTTGTTGGTGAAAAGACCAGCCAATATAAAACTAAAAGGACAGAAGAAAAAAATTCAACCAGAATGTAATATACATGTGAACTAAATGTTTTCTGTTGCTGACGTTTTGTAGGCTTCTGAAATTTAATGAGACTTTTACAAGGTTTATCATTTCTCCTAAAGTTTAATTTTTAAACTGACTTAAATGTTTTTTGACCCTTTGGTTATATTTAAGAAGTTGACTTCTCTAATTTCCTTGTCATGTTTATTTTTAAATATTTTTATCTTTAAAAGTTGGGATATTATAATAAGTATTCAGCAAGTATTGATTTGCGTTTAAATATAAAATCTTGTTATTTGGATTTTAATACTTTATATTAAATGCCTTTAAGATTTATTAAAATTTTAGATTAATTGAACTCTGCTTTTTTGTCACTGGATTAATAAGCAGGCTTGTATCTGACATAATAGCTTAATAAGGCAGTGACAATTTAAATTAGTCATGAGTATAAATTGAAAAACCATAACAATTTAGAAATCTGAGATTGAATAATTCATGGCATTTCTATTTAGTGTTTTATATAATGATTAATAAAAAGAAGCAAAACTTAATTTTTTTTTCAAAGATGGATAGGTTCAGGCCAGATGCAGTGGCTTACGCCTGTAATCCCAGCACTTTGGGGACCAAGGCAGGAGGATTGCTTGAGGCCTCAGACTAGGCAACATAGTGACATCCTGTCTCTACAAAAAATAAAAAAAATTAGTTGGGGCTGGGCGCAGTGACTCACACCTGTAATCGTAGCACTTTGGGAGCCTGAGGCAGGGGATCACCTGAGGTCAGGAGTTCAAGACCAGCCTGGCCAACATGGTGAAACCTCGTCTCTGCTGAAAATACAAAAATTAGCTGGGCTTGGTGGCGGATGCCTGTAATCCCAGCTACTTGGGAGGCTGAGGCAGGAGAATCGCTCAAACCCGGGAGGCAGAGGTTGCTGTGAGCCAAGATTGTGCCACTGCACTCCAGACTGGGCAATAAGAATGAAACTCAAAAAAAAAAAAAAAATTAGTTGGGCATGGAGGCACACTCCTGTAGTCCTAGCTACTTAGGAGTCAAAGTGGAAGAATTGGAGGCTATGGTGAGCTATGACTACACCGCTATCTTAATTCTCCATGTTTGCTTTCTCCCCCTCACTGTCTCTTTCTGCCTGTCAGCCTTACTACCACAGTGAAGTATATACAGTAATCTTTGTTAGTAAAAAGACTGGACTATCCTATTAGTCTTAGGACTCTGATCCCCCCAATTTTAGTATATATGTTTCTCTTTCTTCATTTTAAAATGTCAGTCAATTCAATTATTAGTATGTCAATAAAATTAATAACAGAATGAGACCTTTATTTCATTTTTCGCATGTTTTTGTAAAAATTAAGGAGTACCACTTTAGAATGGTAGTCCTTTTCAAAATATTTCTAGTGTCTTCATTTATTCTTGTGAAACATAAAATTTTAGTCCACAGTGTATTCTAAATTTGAGGACTTTGGTTCTCATTTAGAATTGCTAAAGGACACAAGGAAAATCACAGCAGCTTACTTTTTCCTCAACGGATATTTGGGCACCTTCACGAGTGTTAGATACCATGCTAGGTCCTGAGGATACAGATGAATGAGACAAGGCCCTCACTGCGAAGAGTATTTCAGTGAGAAGATGGGAGAAACAAATACAGATGCTCTTCGACTTGGGACAGGGTTACATTAACCCATCGTAAGTTGAAGATATGTTTGATACACCTTGCCTACTAAACATTATAGCGTAGCCTACAGTTGGACAAAATCATCTAACATAAAGCCTATTTTGCGATAACATTTTGAATATCTCATGTAATTTATTGAATAATATACTGAAAGTAAAAAACAATGGTTGTATGGTTTCTATTCAATGTGTATTGCTTGCACACTATCAAAAATTTGAAAAATTGTTAAGTGGAATCATAGTGAGGAAGCATCTGTATGCAGGCAGGCAATTACTGTACAGCACATTAAGTGTTGTGACCACATAGAAATATGCCTAGTATTAGGTTGGAAAAGGATTCCCAGTGGAAATTGGATCATAAACCAGTGTCATGAGGATGAGTAGGAATTAGCCAGGCCAAGGAGAAGCAGGATGATAATGGAGGGTGTTCCAGCCAAGGTAGTAGCCTGTGGCCAGATGTCAAAGTATGGTGCTTTCAAGGAATTGTAAGAAGTTCAAAAAGGTTGGCACATTGGAAGTAGGAGGCAAAGGAAATGCTAGGAATGCTAAGAGATGAGGTCAGCTGGAGAATCTATGTCTTCACAAGCTTTGTAGGCCATACTAGTTAAGGCATCTGGTCTTTAATAAGATTTTTGGTTAGGGCATAACTCAATAAGATTTGGATTTAGAAAGACCACTCTGACTTCAGTATGGATGGTTTGTATTACAGTTATTCATTCCAAAGGTCTTGGTGGCCTAGACTAAAGTAATGGAAATGGAGATATACATACATATATATATATTTACATCTATACACATACTATATATATGGGAAGAGGATTAGAGGAGGGGAGGAATCCTAGGTTTCACACTTGAGTAATTAGGTAGACTGTAGTGCCATTCACTGAGATAGGAAGCATAGAAGAGAGAAAATGAGGTTCAGATGAGCTTTTGATTTTAAGGAGCCCATGGAACACCCAGGTAGCATATCCACTGGGTAAACACAAATCTGGAACGTAACAGTGAGATATGGGCTGTGTATGAAGATTTGAGAGTCAGTTGACCAATTGAAGATAATTGAAATCTAACTGGGGATGTGAAGAATCTTGTTCTCCCAAACTGATCAATTCAGTCGTATTAAATACTGTGTATTTCAGACTTAAACCATTGGATATTGAGTTTATGAAGCGTTTGCATGAAAAAGTGAGTATCACCCCACTTATTGCCAAAGCAGACACACTCACACCAGAGGAATGCCAACAGTTTAAAAAACAGGTGAGCAGGATGTGTTAACTCAGGTTTCTTATACCATTCTCATAATTTGCAGTTTTTACTATTTTTAGTATAATGTGTTGCAATCCATTCCTCTTACTGCTTTACTGTGTTGTCATTTATGCTGTATTAAAAATAACTCTTGAATCTTCTGCCTTAGTTTTCCCCTCAAAGCTCTTACCCATTATCATAGTATCCTTATCCTTTGTCAGTTTTTAAATATGGCTGTTTTAAGTGTTTTTTTTTTTTTCTTTCTTTCTTCGAGACGGAGTCTCGCTCTGTTGCCCAGGTTGGAGTGCAGTGGTGTGATCTCGGCTCACCGCAAGCTCTGCCTCCCAGGTTCACGCCATTCTCCTGCCTCAGCCTCCCCAGCAGCTGGTACTACAGGCACATGCCGCACGCTTGGCTAATTTTTTGTATTTTTAGTAGAGACGGGGTTTCGCCGTGTTAGCCATGATGGTCTCAATCTCCTGACCTCATGATCTGCCCGCCTTGGCCTCCCAGAGTGCTGGGATTACAGGCGTGAGCCACCGCGCCCTGCCAAATTTCCTCTTTAAAGTTAAGAATATTCAAGAATATACTGGGCAAATTATTTACTAAAAATCACTACAGAAAGTTGTCCCATACTTGGGAGGAAAAAGGTAAAAAATATATTAGCATTGGCTGGGCGTGGTGGCTCATGCCTGTATCCTACTAAGTCAGGTAAGTATGTGTTAAGTCCTAAAGTTGTAGTATAGGTTGAACATTCTTTTTTTTTTTAGATGGAGTCTCCCTCTGTCACCCAGGCTGGAGTGCAGTGGCATGATCTCGGCTCACTGCAACCTCTGCCTCCCGAGTTCAAATGATACTTCTGCCTCAGCCTCCCGAGTAGCTGGGACTATAGGCGTGCACCACCACACCTGGCTAATTTTGGTATTTTTAGTAGAGACAGGGTTTCACCATATTGGCCAGGCTGGTCTCAAACTCCTGACCTTATGATCCTCCCGCCTCAGCCTCCCAAAGTGCTGGGATTACAGGCATGAGCCACCGCACCCCGCCTAGGTTGAACATTCTTAAAGAGAAAATTCAAAATGTGAATTGCTCCAAAATCTAAAACGTTTTGAGCACTGACATGCCGCTCAAAGGAAACGCTCACTGGAGCATTTTGAATTTTGGATTTTTGGATTAAGGATGCTCAACCAGTAAGTATAACACAGATATTCCAGAATTCCAAAAAAATTCAAAACACTTCTGGTCCCAAGCATTTCAAATAAGAGATACTCAACTTGCCCCACCCAGGCTGGCATCTCTGCCTCATCATTAAGTCTATTTCTGTTTTCTTATTTGAAAACATACCTAAAATTCAGGGGTTCTTTACCTGGGGCCCACAGTTTGCTCCCAGGAAATCTAATGAACCTCCTGGAATCAAACATTTTGGAGAGAAGGCCAGTCACTTTTATCAGAATGTCAGATGGGTCATGGACCCTCAAGAATTATTTTAAAAATGTATAAGTCCAGTTAAAACATTCACAGTCTCCTTTCCTCAATGCAAAAGTTGCCCTTTTTGACATTGCATATTTAGAGTAAAAAAATTTCATTAGTAGGAGATCCTCTTTACTAGTTTTGTAAGGAGTTTTTTGTTTCTTAACTTGCTATCTTAAATTATTAAGGGTTAAGTAAGGAGTTTTAAATACCAGTAAAATCTTAGTTATAACACCAAACCTCAGAAGTCCTTCCTCTTGGCAATAGGTTTATTGTATTTGTTTAATCTGATATTTAATCTTCTGTGTTACAGTAAGCTGAAACCAAAATTGAGACATGATTGTTTTATGTTTGTTGCTATGATTTTTGAACTTTGTTTTTTTTTTTTTTTTTTAAGAGACAAGGTCTTGCTGTGTTGCCCAACTGGCCTCAAACTCCTGAGCTCAAAGTGATCTTCCCACGTCATGCTCCTCCCATATCACGTCACTATAGGCACACACCACTGCCCCTGTTTTATTTTGAACAGTTCTTTAATTTTTAGGATATTGTTTCAAGTTACTGTCCTTATTGGCAATTTTCCCACCAGTGACCCCCGTACCTTGTTCCCAGTTCCCTCTGCCATGCCCAGGCAACTTTCAGTTGCTGAGCTGAGGCTTTAAAACTTACATACTGCTTAAAAATAGGCAACGGAGAAATTGATTTTCATCTCTCTTTTGTAGTTTACCCTTCTACTCTCAAGTAATATTCGTATTTGTGATACATTATTTAAAAATAAAAGTAAAGAACCTTAAAGTTCTTGGCTCCCTTTTTCATTTTGGTTACCTTAAGATTTTTTCTAAAGTGATTCTCCCTTCACTTACACCACTGAATTTTTTAAATGTATTATAGAATAAATATATTTTTTGCCAATAATGAGAAAATACATGGTTTCCCCTTACAAAATTTCAAAGTTGTTTCCGGAGAGCTCATTTGTTACGTTTATGTATCTATTTCTGAAGATTAAACTACAATAAGGCAATAATATAGTACACTTCTCTGTCATGCCCTTACGTTGAGTAGTATGTTAGTGTTAAATCTCAAAAAAATTGATCTAAGCTGTTTTGCATTTCCCCTCCTTGTTTTTACCCCCCAAGTTCCGGTGAAATATTTTTTGAAAAGACTGGGCTTAGTGGAAATATATGTGGTCTGTTTTTTTCTTACAGTTGAAAATGGTGAACATTGTTATTTTACAATTCTAAGAAATATGTTGATAAGGTAAGTGCAAGCAATCATGGAAATAGCATGAGATTTTCTTTCCCTAAATAAGAGTTGGACAGATTTACTTTTTGCCTTCTATAAATGTAGCTATTTAAATTTATATCTTCAGTCTAGCAATGAAGTAGGCGCTACATGTAGATGATTCTTTCTCCAAGGTTTTGAAGTCATGAGCAAAAGTTACAAAATAATTTGTGTCTAGGGATACATAGGAAAATTAGTCTCTGTACTTTGTCATTATACTTTGTATTGAGGTTTAATACTGAAATAACTATGGAAAGTGAAATAGAAGAGACTCTTTCTTAATGTAAAAACCGTGTGAAAAGTATATAATCCAAGGCTAGTTTTTGAGTCAAAAGCTAGAATTTGAATGTTAAAAGTTGCACAGCCTGGTAGCTGGTGAGTAGGGCACATTTTACATACTAGAACATAGTAAACAAAATCAATCTTCCTACCAGGTAAGAAAAAAATCCTTAAATTGTGTCTTGCACATCTGCTGAAAAAGAGACGGAAAGCCTATGGGAGCAGGACATTGAGACCATCCTGATTAGAGGACCAGGACTAGTAAAGAGGATCTCTTACTAATGAATTAGAAAAGCAGCAGCAGAGAGGAAATCATGAAGAAATAGTGTAATAGGACTAGAGATGTTAGTAGGTAAGGAACTAAAAGGGCATCAAAATGATCCTCAGTGTTTTCATGTTGAGGCACATTCCTTCCTCTCCCTACCTCACTCCTCATTTCCCACTTCTCTCTCTTGCTTCTCTACATCTTTACCACATACTCTCTTTATCCTCCAGCTTTAGATGTCTGTCTTAAGTTGATATCTATTCATTTTCATACCTCTACCCACTTTCCCAAAACATAAGAATCTCTTTAGCTGTGTAAAAAAAAGGTAGTAACATAAATCTGGATAATAATTAGAAATTGTGGAATAACAAGAAGGTCATTCTCACAAGTGAGAAGTGAGGGGGAAATTTTAAGAGAGTCAAACTTCTACCTTAAGAAATACAGTAGAAATGAGAGTGAATTTTGAAATTAAAGAAATTGGCATGTAATTGATCTTTATTTTCAAAGGAGCAGGTGTTTTTGGTAGGAACTACATGATAGGATTGATTCAGCAGTTGGGGTTACCAGGCCTCACTTAGTAGAGAAGAGCAAATGCATGAGAAGGTCATCCTCTGGGTTTTGAGAATCCAACACTTCAGGCTCTATTATGAACTATTCCCTTCCTCTTCCATTCTTAAGGTGTGACTTCAAAAGAATAACTATTAATAATATAATCTTCTATGACAGTATATAAGTAGAGAATGTTTAATAAATCCTAATTGCCATTGCATTCCTCTTGTTTTTAAATCTTCTATGGTACTTGCCCAGTGCTTGACATGGTGGTTTTCTATAACTTTTTCTTGTGTATTTTAAAAGTATACAATCAATAATTGCCTACATACCTAAAATGCCATAGAGGGGATATCTAGTTACTGAGCCAGAGGCTACTTTATTGAGAAGGAGTCTCGCTCTGTTTCCCAGGCTGGAGTGCAGTGGCATGATTTTGGCTCACTGCAACCTCCACCTCCCAAGTTCAAGCAATTCTCCTGCCTCAGCCTCCCGAGTAGCTGGGATTACAGGCGTGCACCACCACACCCGGCTAATTTTTGTATTTTTAGTAGAGATGAGGTTTCACCATGTTCGCCAGGCTGGTCTCAAACTCCTGACCTCAAGTGAGCCGCCTGCCTCGGCCTCCCACAGTCCTGGGATTACAGGCGTGAGCCACCATGCCCACCCGGCCCAGAGGCTACTTTGAATATTCAAAAGTTCACAGCCTGGCAGCTAGTAAGGGGCCTCCCTAGTGTAAGCATTCCAGAGCAAACCGACCATGCCTGCAGGAAGAATTAATATAGCAGACCAGCAAGACTTTTATGCCTAAAAATTCTAAAGTTATATATTGTTAAAAAGATGTATATTTAATTTAGCTCATGTCTTTATGACAAAGGCATCTAGTGGATATTTAATAAGTACTTGAAGGAAGGAAATACAATACCAGTATTGCAGATAGATGTCTGTAAATCCCAAGTAATTGAAATTTTGCAGGTCAAAGAAATAGTGTTTTCTTCTAAGAAAGAGGCAAGTTCAAAGAAGTCTTTGCTAATTAAGAGACTTAGGTAAACCAAGGAAGACAATGGAAAGGAGGAAAACTATACAAATATTTTCTGGGTGTGGAGATGGGTGTTTCAGAAATCAAATAGGGAAAGAAAAGAGGAGAAGAGAGAGTTATGGTATCAGTGATGGGAAATGGAAGAGACAAATTCCTGAAACTGTGGGGAAACTGTATTGCTAATTACCAAATTATTTTGAGAATGGAGGAGTGGGTTGAATCATAAAAGGATAAAGCATATTTAATTAAATGGAAATAAAGACTTTTATAACCTGGAAAAAATCAGAATTATGTAGTCATATAGAAGTGAAAGTGATTTTAGTGAAAGGGAAAATCATTCATTATCTAAAATGTTAGATGACACTAACAAAAATAGCTTAACAATTAGTAAATTCACCTTACTTTTATTTTACACATTCATGCAAACATTTCCTGTAAGTATTCTTCCTTAGAACCTTTAATGATTTTTCAGTGATGCGTGTAATATATAATAATTAAAATTAGGCCAGGCGCAGTGGCTCACACCCGTAATCCCAGCGCTTTGGGAGGCCAAGATGGGAGAATTGCTTAAGCTCAGGAGTTCAAGACTGGCCTGAGCAACATGGCGAAACCTCGTCTCTACTAAAAATACAAAAAATAGTTGGGCGTGGTGGTGCATGCCTGTAGTCTCAGCTACTCAGGAGGCTGAGGCGGGAGGATGGTTTGAGCATGAAAGGCAGAGGTTGTAGTGAGCTGAGATTGTACCACCGCACTCCATCCAGCCTGGGAGACAAAGTGAGACCCTGTATCAAAAAAAAAAAAACGAAAAAAATATCGGGGGAACCCACTCCCAATATTTCAACGTAGGTTTTTTTCTGTTTTCCATAAGTGTCAGCCAGCTGAGAAAGAAAGAGAAAGAGTACAAAGAGAGGAATTTTACAGCTGGGCCACCGGGGCTGACATCACATATCGGTAGGACTGTGATGCCTACCCAAGCCTCAAAACCAGCAAGTTTTTATTAAGGATTTCAAAAGGGGAGGGGGTGTACGAACAGGGCATAGGTAGGTACAAAGATCACATGCTTCAAAGGGCAAAAAGCAGAACAAAGTTCACATGCTTCTGAGGAAACAGGACGAAGGGCAAAAGGCAGGACTTCTGATAAGGGTCTATGTTCAGGTGCACGTATTTTCTTGATAAACATTTTAAACAACAGAAAACAGGATTTGAGAGCAGAGAACCGGTCTGACCACAAATTTACCAGGATGGAGTTTCCCAATCCTAGTAAGCCTGAGGGTACTGCAGGAGACCAGGGCATATCTCAGTCCTTATCTCAACCGAATAGGACAGACATTCCCAGAATGGCTGTTTATAGACTTCCCGCCCAGGAATGCATTCCTTTCCCAGAGTATTAATATCAATATTCCTTGCTAGGAAAAGAATTTAGCGATATCTTCCCTACTTGCACATCTGTTTATAGGCTCTCTGCAAGAAGAAAAATATGGCTCTTTTTGCCTGACCCCACAGGCAGTCAGACCTTATGGTTATCTTCCCTTCTTCCCTAAAAATTGCTGTTATTCTGTTCTTTTTCAAGGTGCAGTGATTTCATATTGTTCAAACACACATGTTTTACAGTCAGTCTTTACAGTTAACACAGTTATCACAGTGGTCCTGAGGTGATGTACATCCTCAGCTTACGAAGATAACAGGATTAAGAGATTACAGGTGTAATAAATTATGAAAGTATTATTGGACATAATAATGGACATATTAAATGTCCATATTAAAATGAAATCTTCACAATGTATGTTTCTCTGCCACGGCTCCAGGTGGTCCTTCCGTTCGGGGTCCCTGACTTCCCACAACAAACTCCCAAGAAATCCTATGCACTCAAGATACCTTTTAGGGTTTCCAATGGTGTATGGTTTCAAAACTGCTGTTCCCTCTGTACTTACTTCCTGTTGAATTAAAGTGTCTTTGAGAGGCAAGAGAGTATGATGTTTGTTCCTAGCCTACCAGCCTATCAGGCTGGCATGATAGATACACTCTATGAGGCTGACATGCCCTTACTTGATTCTTTTGTCCAGTGAAAATATCTATAACCAGCATCCAAGAGGGATACTGTTGGTGAAACCTGCTTAGCCGAGGACTGGCTGTGTGTGTGCCTCCAGACCAATCATATGTTTGTTTTGAGATACATTTTTTGGAGGAAGGTAATACACACATGCCATGTATTTTCTTTTTGTTTCATACTTTTTCTTCTTTAATTTCCTGGTATCCATTGGTTCTCTCCAGGCAATTGGTGGCATGTTAGCCACAGTGGACACTGCACAGGAGAGCAAGGGGTGGGGGATTAGGGTGCTGCAAGCAGAATAATAAATTTCAGGCCCAACCTTATGTCTGTTGAATCAGAACTGCTGAGTATGGAGCTCAGGCTCCCGTGTTTGAATAAGCCTTCAATTGACTCTGATGCTAAAGTTAGCGAAGCACTGCTCTAGAAGTTTCAGGAGGTCCCAGGGTCAGGCACCTGCTGAGGAGGAAGAATTGTTCCTGGGATTCCCTGCCTATTCTCAATAAAAAACTCAAACTTAGGAAAGCCAGTGAGGTTTGTATTCGCCTTACATCAGGGGTGGGTTGGATTTACCATTTCTTTGACTCCTTCAATCTTTTAGGTAACTTTTCCGGTCACACACAACAGACTGATTTTCCTGTGGAAGACCTCACAGGAGTTCTCTTGAACCAGGAGACTATTTTGAGCTGAAATACCTGGAGCCCTCTCAAGCTATTTGGGCCTTTCAATTTGAAACCCAGGTTTGGATGATTCTAAGCTCTATGGCAGAGACTGTAATCATTTTCTCTTCACCCTCAGGTTGGGGACTCACCCTCAGGGTTGGGAGTGACTGCTGTCTCTCCAGCCCCCACCAATTACACCATGTTCTGGTTGTTAAAATCCAGTGTATGCATGAAATGTAATAAAAGTATCTTCGCAGCACTAAGTAGAGAGTTCCTTGTTGTGAGCAGACCATTCCTCTTCCTCCTTGGAAAAAATTATCTATCCACTTTCTACATTTTCATGTTTGTCTCTTCCTCTACACACACCTCAGCTGCTGCTTTATTTCCACATGTCTCATGTAAGGATCTTTTTTTATGTGGTAACCTTGGCTTTTCCCACTGTTCATGCTTCCACGAGTTGGACGTAGGCAATATAGGAGCCCACTGCAAAAGTGTAGGTGATATTGTCCAGAAAGAAACCTGAATTTCAGAGGCTTGCTGATGTGGAAGAAAGCCAAGATATTAGACTCATAGAGCTTCACTCTGCTAGGTAGGTTGAAATGTGGACACCGTGAATTCCATAAAAAGGTAGTACTTCTGAAAACCATCTTAAGTTTAAAATATACTGGGACTGCCTTACCTTTCTTGTTTTTCATAACTTGTATTCCAAGCTTGAAAAGCTAAAACAAAAGCAAAGAACACTCTTCCTATCTGTAACAAAGGTGCTTAAGCAGGAGGGTGGTCTCTCTTCCCGGTTCAACACTCTCTCCCTCAGGAACAGTAGGGATTGGAAATAGGTGGTTTCTCTGTAGTTTCTCGGAAGCCACCAATACCACTCGCCTGTACCAAAACTCAAGGGTACCTGTGCTCCCCAGTGCCCCAGCCAGTAAAGGAGCTGTGACGCGTTCTCAACGCCACGACTGCCTTGAGCAAAAGGAGGGAGGTCTTGCGGGAAAGTGTTTTCAGCTCACTTCTCCTACAGGGAATGAGCCCTCTCGTTTATCGCAGACACCGAGGAAACGCAGCGATGGGCTTCGGGGCTGCAGTCAGCCTCCCTGCCCACCCAGATCCTCTGGCAGCCTCGGGCGCTCACCCACTTCGTTTCTCCTCCGCCTTTGCCGCCGCTACAGCAGGTGCACACCCCACCACGTCCCTGCTTCCCTCTCGAGCTCTTTTCGTAGGTGGTCCTCGTTCTTCTCTCCGTCTGTCGTTTCTTGAGTGTCAGAACTGGAACCACAGCATCCCCAAGATGAAATCCATGCTGGGTTTTGCGACCACAGTGCTGGCCCAGTCACCGGCGAGGGTAAGGATGGGCAGCGACCCACGCTCCTGGGTCTTCATTTCTAAGAGTTCGGAATTCCACTTTCTCACCTCCTCACCTGGACCTAAATCCCCTGAGGCGGTACTGACCCTTCTGTTTTAGTATCCATCTACGTTACTCTTGATGGAAGAGTACAGTCCTTGAAGGAAGAGGGAAAATAAATTTGAGAAGGGAGAATTAAAAAACCTTTTTAGTTTGAAATTATTTCAAGCCTACAGAAAAGTTGCAAAAATAATACAAAGAACTACCATACACACGTTACTCAGGTTTAGCAATTCCCAATATTTTGCCACAATGATTCTCCTCTCTCTTTACGCCTAAACACACATACAATGATTTTTCTCATGGACTTCATTATTTATTTATTTATTGAGACGGGTCTCGCCCTGTTGTCCAGGCTGGAGTGCAGTGGTGCGATCTCGGCTCACTGCAAACTCCGCCTCCCGGGTTCAAGTGATTTTCTTGCCTCTGCTTCCCAAGTAGCTGGGATTAGAGGCATGTGCCACCACGCCAGGCCAGTCTGTATTTTTAGTAGAGATGGGGCTTCACCATATTGGCCAGGCAGGTCTGGAACCTCAGGTGATCCGCCTGCCTAGGTCTCCCAAAGTGCTGGCATTACAGGCGTGAGCCACCCCGGCGCTTCTTTGTTCTTTTAAATCATCCCCATCATTCTGGCACAGCAAGATATCTTAGGTTCATCTTGTAGTTTCCCTGGCACTGTCCTGCTGGAGTCACTGTAGTTAACACTAGTAGCTACTTTCTATTAGTATGTCTGGTTCCTTTTAGTAGAGAATGGTGTTTGAAAAATAGAGTTATCTTGATCATTGTTTCTGAGGTATTTCTTCCAGGCCCAGTTAGCAGACAGATCTGTAGGGAAAATGTACTTTTTTTTTTTTTTTTTGAGACAGAGTCTCACTCACTATCCCAGGCTGGAGTGCAGTGGTGCGATCTTGGCTCGCTGCAACGTCCGCCTCCCGAATTCAAGCGATTATCCTGCCTCAGCCTCCCGAATAGCTGGGACTACAGGCGTGGCCACCACACCCGATAATTTTTGTATTTTTAGTAGAGACGAGGTTTCGCCATGTTGGCCAGGGTGTTCTCAATTCCTGACCTGAAGTGATCCACACGTCTCTCAGCCTCCCAAAGTGCTGAGATTATAAGTGTGAACCACCATGCCTGGCCTATACAATTACATATGTATAATTTCTTACTGATGCCTCCAATTCCCATAAACACCAACAGGACTATTCTTTACCTTCTTGCTCTTACAGTGACAGCCTGCTTACTCTCACACACTCATTTTCCCAATCCTAAAATTCTCACAAAATCTCAGAATTCCTACAGCCTTAGTTGTACAAAAAATAACCCTTATACATAGAGTTTAAGATTTGTTTCCTCTTCTTTTTGTACTTACAATTAGAACAACGAACTGTGTAAAGCATTTTCTTAAATCAGTTCTTTCAATGGGGTTGTTATTCTTTCACAATGCAGTTTTAATTTGCCTCTATTTGTATTGAATTTTAGGGTATTTTCACACACACTTGAGTCAGTTTTATTTTTTGACTATGTGAGACTAACATGCTTCGAAGAATCAAAAGAATACATGTGCAGGATTGTTACATGGGTATATCGCATGATGCTGGGGTTGGGGTGGGATTAATCCCATCACCCGGGTAGTGAGCATAGTATCCAACAGTTAGCTTTTCAAGCCTTTCCCCTTCCTGGCTACTCCCTAGTAGTCCCCGGTGTTTACTGTTTCCATCTTTTATGTCCAGTTTTAATATATGTAAATCGCCTTGTATAACAAAAACATTATTTTAAGTAATCCATCTTAAAATTATAAGTGAGTTATTTTATATTAAAAAGTGATATTTCATCTTTGAAATCTGTATGTATTTTATATTTACAACACATCTTACCTTGGACTGGGCAATTTCAAGCATTCAATAGCCAATGTGGTAATGGTAACCATATTGGACAGTGCAGATTTAAAAAGATACTTTATATATTTTTAGGTTTTCAAAACTGAATATGTATGACATGAGGGTCTTCTGTCTTCAAAATTAAATGTTTAATTCCTCAGAAGAATGCTGTGTTAAATGAGCTCATCCTACAGATTATATGCAAAAAGAAAAATGTTTCAATCATGTTGGTAGATAGTCTGAAGATAGATATGGATATTTAATTATTTTAAATTCCCCCCTTTTATGTGGCAAACAAAAAAGCATACTTTCTTATTGTGAATTCCCAAGAATCTGATAGACAGGCAGGTTTCTCTGGGTGTGACATGACATAAGGATGAAGGAGTGTTTCTGCAAACTGTCCTAATACTGTTTTTATGGCATCAAAGAGTCAAGATAATCCTCCCCAGCATTTACATGCACACACACACAGACACAGACAGGCAGACACACACACATGAATACACATCAATTTTGTGTGTAACGCTTCTCTAGTCTTTCCTTCAGTGAAACCTATTACTCAGTGTTTCCTATTTTTATTCTAGAAATCCCATCAGCCATCTGAAAAGTCTGGCATACAACTTGCAATCTGCCATTTTTAAAATGGATCAATGTTATTTTATTAATATTGGCAAAGGCTCATATGTGGGCAAACCAGAATGAGAAAGAGTTAACAGTCACTAGAAATTTGGTTCCGGGAAATGGGTTTTCTTCTCATCTTCTTATATAGTTCAAAGAACCCAGTCTCAACGTGATAAGTCCCAAGATTTGAGAACTATTTAGGAGCAAACTTGTTTGATGCCCACAAATATCACGAATAGGTTTGTAATTCCCATATCTCAAAGTATACTTTTTAGTCTTTATCCACCTCCGTGTAATGTGTCTCCTACTACTAATGCTTACAAATCCCAGGCTGGAGACGGAGTTAATTGCCTGAGTTCTCCGTGTAATATCTTCACAACCGTGCCCCGGAGATATTTTAAATTTAGTGTGAGCCAAACTAACTCATCTCCATCTTTCAATCTTTCTCCCATTCCTAAAAGAGTTGTTAAAACCTGCCCTTTTCTGTACCTGCTTGTCTTTGGCAATAGCATGTTTGTTTTTCTGAACTACTCTTCAATCCTGTTTCTATTTATCTTTCGTCTTACTCTCATAATTCAACCCTCCTCTCCACCCCCAAAGCTGTTTTTCATTTATGCCTTATGAATTCCCTCCCATCTCCTTTTCTCTCTCTCTCCCCTTTCCTTCCTTCCCTCCTTCCTTCCCTCCCTCCCTCTCTCTTTCTTCTTCCTTCCTTCCTTCCCTCTTTCCCTTCCTCCCTCCCTCACTCCCTTACTCCCACTTTGTCTTGCTTGCTTGCTTGCTTTTCTCACTACGTTTCCCAGGCTCGAGGGCAGTGGCACAATCATAGCTCCCTACAACCACCAACTCCCGAGCTCAAGCGATCCTCGTGCCTCAGCCTCTGGAATAGCTGTGAGTACAGGCGTTAAGACACCACGCCAGCTAGGGACCCATATGAAAAAATGCTGAGTGCACTGCTCTCAGGTTTTATTCTGATTATGGCTTTCCTCCACCAAATCTTACCCTTGATATTCCTATTGAGTAAACAACAAATATGAAGCATTTTAGTCAGGGAAAGGCTGAATTTCAATGGCTTTGTGTCATATCTGGAAGAAATCAAAAGAAACGAAAACCAGAACTTGATTCTTGCCAAGCATAATAGAAGGAGACCCTAAGAACTCAACGTCTTGAAGCCATAATGGAAACTTCTTGTGGTTATTATCTGACACTTTTCTAATCTTTTTTCATTTCAAATCCTACACAGTATTCTAAAGAATCTGTATCCCCCATTAGTACCAAATATCTCCTGCTCAGAGTAGCTCTCCATGCTCTATAGTTCTGACCACTACTACCCGCATGCTCACGGAGAGTCTCAGGAAATGAAAGTTACCTCCTGAAAATTATTACAAAGAGGCCTTTTAGGAAGGGGGTGTAGCTCAGTGGTAGAGCGGATGCTTTGCATGTATGAGACTTTGGGTTGGATCCCCAGCACCTCCAAGTGATGGTTTTACTCTGGCAGTTCTCTGCCTCCTCACATTTTTCTATCCTATTTCTGCACATATAGAGAGTAAAAAATGTACTCCAATGCATTGCCTTGAACTATCCCCAACCTCTATGCTGTGAGCCTCAACATCACGTAAGGCGATTGCGACAGCAGAAGGAAGACAAAAAAGTAACGAGGGGGAAAGAAGAACGGGATCACAACAGGGGTCTCTTGACCCCAAACAAATGCATGCACAGGCGGTTCGCGTTCGCTCCCTTTTATTTTTTGAGATGGAGTTTTGCTCTCGTTGCCCAGGCTAGAGTGCAGTGGCGCAATCTCGGCTCACTGCAACCTCTGCCTTCCGTTTTTAAGCGATTCTCCTGCCTCAGCCTGCCAAGTAGCTGGGATTACAGGCGTCCACCACCACGCCCAGCTAATTTTTTTGTATTTTTAGTAGAGACGGGGTTTCACCATGTTGGTCAGGCTGATCTCAAACTGCTGACCTCGTGATCCACCCGCCTCTGCCTCCCAAAGTGCTGGGATTGCAGGCATGAACCACCGCGCCCGGCCCTCCATTTTGTACAATGATTAAAGAGGCGCAAAGACGAAGAAGGGAGAAAAATGCCCGTGGGCATCTTTTTTTCTTTTTAGTTATCTTTGTTTTCTAGGCAAAAGAGCAGAGTGAAAGCATCTGTCTGCTGATTTCTCCACCAGTCTCTCCCTGTCGACCTGCACAGGGACACAAGTGCAATCCAATACTGAGACAAGGACTACTGTGGCTCTCTAGTCGCTTGAGATGGGAGTGGCAGGGCGCTGGATGGCCGAACGAAGACTGTCGGGGAATAAGAGGCCTTCAACATGCGAGAAGCAGAAACCAATACGGATCAACATTCCCTACGGATATTCCATAAGACTGATTCATATTCATATTCCTGTATTTCCTCAGTCCCTCCAATATTGCCTGGGAACTTCTGGTAACAGCAAACGGAGGCCCCATATGAAAAAAAACAGGAAAAGGTTTTGTCACAATGGAAAATACATGCAGAGTAAAAGGTAAGTAGATCACAGTTGTGTTGGGCACTTCCTCTGGTCGAAAAAACCAAACAAACATTTCATGTTCTTTCTCGATCCATCTAATTACAACTGTTTTGAGATACATTTTTTGGAGGAAGGTAATACACACATGCCATGTATTTTCTTTGTGTTTCATACTTTTTCTTCTTTAATTTCCTGATATCCATTGGTTCTCTCCAGGCAAACGGTGGCACGTTAGCCACAGTGGACACTGCACAGGAGAGCAAGCCGGGGGGGGATTAGGGTGCTGCAAGCAGAACAATAAATTTCAGACCCAACCTTAGGTCTGTTGAATCAGAACTGCTGAGTATGGGGCTCAGGCTCCTGTGTTTAAATAAGCCCTCAAGTGACTCTGATGCTAAAGTTAGCGAAGCACTGCTCTAGAAGTTTCAGGTGGTCCCAGGGTCAGGCACCTGCTGAGGGGGAAGAGTTGTTCCTGGGGTTCCTTGCCTATTCTCAATCAAAAACTTAAACCACCTAGGAAAGCCAGTGAGGTTTGTAGTTGCATTATGTCAGGGGTGGGGTTGGATTTACCATCTCTTTGTCTTTGTTTTGTTTTGTTTTGTTTTTTTTTGAGAGGGAGTCTTACTCTGTCACCCAGGATGGAGTGCAGTGGTGCGATCTCAGCTCACTGCAACCTCCGTCTCCTGGGTTCAAGCGATTCTCCTGCCTCAGTCTCCTGAGTAGCTGGGATAACAGGCGCCTGCCACTATGCCCAGCTAATACAAAAAATTTATTTTTAGTATTTGTACTAAAATACTGAAAATACTAAAATTGTATTTTTAGTAGAGACGGGGTTTTGACATGTTGGTCGGGCTGGTCTCAAACTCCTGACCTCAAGTGATCTGCCCACCTCAGCCTCCCAAAGTGCTGGGATTACAGGCATGAGCCATCGCTCCTGGAAAGGAGACCCTTCTTAACAAAATGCTAAACGAATTTCTCTTTGTTGCTCCCAATGTCAAGTTTTTTCCAACAAATCTTATCAAATCTTGTTGAGCAAACATAACCACAAAGTATTTAGCCAGAGAAAAGCTTACTTTTAATATCCTTGCCTCCTAGGGTAAGATATTTCTGAAGGAAATCAGAAAAGCCCCAAATCGAGACTTGATTCTTATTACTCATAAGAGAAGACTGAAGCTTTAACAATTAATCTGCTTAGAACTGCAATGTAAACTGCACGCAGCTATTACCTGATTTTTATTTCCACTACTTTTCTTCCATCACAAGCCCTATGCAGAAAAAAAAGTGGTAAGTCCATCTTTTACAGTTAATACTAATAACAAATCATGAAGGATTCAGAGCTTCAGAAAATCAAAGTGCTCTCAGTGAAGAGTTAGGGGTGTAGCTTAGTGATGACCAAGTGCTGGCCAAGGGGAAACCATTTCTTATTTTCTGCTTTGTTTTAACCAAACTTTAGTCAGGCCCCTAAACTTCTTCTGTTCTTCTACTGTTCTCCTTGCAGGCTCCTGAACTCTGCTTGCCCAAGCCTGGGTAAGCACTAAAAAGCAGACCCTGCCCCTTATCTGCTTATTCTCCTTGGCTAACCATAAGAGAGACGCTCGGTGTCAGACCCTGCTAGTCCTATCCCCCTTGCTTGCCCTATTTCCTTTAAAAGTTTTGCTAAAGTTTGCTAAAGTTTTGCCTAGCCCTCCCTACCTATAAAAGAAAAGGGTAGGCCTTTTTATCACCCCTGTAATCCCAGCACTTTAGGAGGCCAAGGCGGGTGGATCACGAGGTCAGGAGTTCGAGACCAGCCTGACCAACATGGTGAAACCCCATCTCTACTAAAAATACAAAAATTAGCCAGGCGTGGTGTTGCGTCTATAATCCCAGCTACTCAGGAGGCTGAGTCAGGAGAATTGCTTGAACCCAGGAGGCAGAAGTTGCAGTGAGCCAAGATCGTGCCATTGCACTCCAGCCTGGGTGACAGAGCAAGACTCCATCTCAAAAAAATAAATAAATAAATAAATAAAAGAAAAGAAGAGTGTTTTCTGTTTGATTTTGAGATGCTTAGATTGCTGAGTGCTCTCCTATTGCAATAGTCTTTCTTTTGATATTGTGTCTTCTTGTTTTAACTTGGATTTTTCTTTATATGACAGTGATAGAGGAGCTTGTGTTTTGCATTTTTGAGGCCCTGGGTTCAACTCTGTGTACTTTTATTTTTTACTTTTCTCTGACTCACTCCTCAAATCCACTCCTCAAAGAACTATGATTCAACTCTTCCAATTTTCTTTCTTTCATTTCTTCTCTCTCCTCCATTCTCTCTTTCTTCCTCTCTCTCTCTCTTTCTTTCTCTTTTTTCTTTCTTTTTATCTCATTTCTTGATCAAATAAAAAGTAAAAACAGGCCTGGCGTGGTGGTGCACGCCTGTAATCCCAGCACTTTGGGAGACAGAGGCGGTGGATCAACTGAGGTCAGGAGTTCGAGACTAGCCTGACCAACAAGGTGAAACCCTGTCTCTACTAAATACAAATAATTAGCTGGGCGTGGTGTCACATGCATGTAATCCCAGCTACTTGGGAGGCTGAGGCAGGAGAATTGCTTAAACTCAGGAGGTGGAGGTTGCAGTGAGCCAACATTGTGTCATTGCATTCCAACCTGGGCAAACAAGAGGGAAGAAACTCCGTCTCAAAAAAAAAAAAAAAAAAAAAAAAAAAAAAAAACTAAAGACACGACCCAATTAGTTGCCTTTAATGCTCTCCTATTTGCATTTCCTGTTTCCAGCCTCAGCATCACTCAAAGCAAATGATACAGCAGGAGAGAGAAGGAGGAAGAGAAGAACCAGCTTTACAAGATCTCTGGATCATGTTTCCATGCCAACTGTAAAATTCTTTGCCTTGCCCTAGATCCAAAAGATTTTCATCCATGTTTTTTTCCCAAAAGTTTTATACTTTTACATTTTATGTTTACATCCTTGATCCATTTTGAGTTCATTTTTGTATAAGGCATAATGTTGACATTCTTTTAATTTTTTTATTAAAAAAATTTTTTGTTGATAGCTGGGTGTGGTGGCAGGTGCCTGTAATCCCAGCTACTCAGGAGGCTGAGGCAGGAGAATCACTTGAAACCGGGAGGTGGCAGAGATTGCAGTGAGCTGAAATCGTGCCATTGCACTCCAGCCTGGGTGACAAAGCAAGACTCCGTCTCAAAAACAAAAAAACAAAATTTTGAGACAGAGTCTTGTTCTGTAGTCCAGGCTGGAGTGCAGTGGGTAGTATCACTGCGCACTGCAGTCTCAACATCTAGGGACCCAGTGACCCTCCCACCTCAGCCTCCCTGAGTATCTGGAACCACAGGCGCAAGACCACTGTGACCAGGTTTTTTTTTTTTTCTTTTTTTTTGGCAGAGTCAGGATCACCCTTTGTTGCTCAGGCTGATCTGCAACTCCTGGGCTCAAGCAATTCTCCCGCCTCAGTCTTCCAAAGTGTTGTTGAGGCTACAGGCATGAGCCAGGGGGCCCGGACTTGCTTACTGCCTTTCTTATACAATAATACAAGCATACAACAATGTAATACAATAGTCTTGAAGTCAAGTTGACTGTTTCTTCCCCTTATATTTTTATTCTTAATAATTATTTTAGCTATTCTAATTCCTTTAACTTCCTACATAAATTTTAGAATAAAAATCTTGCTTGGATTTTGATAAGAATTTCATTGAACCTATATGTCAATTTGAGAAGAACTGCCATCTTTACCGTGTTGAGTTTTGCAAACTGTTAACACTGTACATCTCTCCATTTATTTAGTTTTTTGTGTGTGTTTTTAGTTTGTTTAAACTTATTTCATCAGCATTGTGTACATTACATTGTGTAAGTTTCTTTTTTTTTTTTAACGGAGTCTTGCTTTATCACCCAGGCTGGAGTGCAATGGTGCAATTCGGCTCACTGCAATCTCTGCTTCCCGGGTTCAAGCAATTCTCCTGCCTCAGCCTCCCGAATAGCTGAGATTACAGGCATCTGCCATCATGCCCGGCTAAGTTTTGTATTTCTGTAGAGATGGGGTTTCACCATGTTGATCAGGCTGGTCTTGAACTCCTGACCTCAGGTGATCCACCTGCCTCGGCCTCCCAAAGTGGGATTACAGGCTGGAGGCACCACGCCCGCCTTACATTACATTGTGTCTTTTTCAGCATTATTCAGATTCTGTTAGATTTACGTCTAAGTATTTCCTTTTTGTCAGAGATTATACAGTTTACTGTCTTTTTAAATTTTTTTTTTCACGTTACTAAATTCTCTCCCTTAATATGGCAACATTCAGCAGCTTATGCTACTCTTTTATCCTTTGGTTGCCAGTGACAAACAATGCAGTAATAATGCCTCTGGTTTCAGTTCCTCTTGGATGACATTTATTAGCTGAGAGAGAGACCTGGAGCTTTAGCTGAAATTTGGCAGCCCAAGAAGTGCACTAACTGCTCCAAAGTATCCCTCATGTTCTAGAAACAATGCTTTCAGTTGACCTTTTGACGAAAGATCCGGTGCATATGCCAAAAGTTTCATTGAGAGGGTATTGACACATAAAACGTTTCCAACAAAGACAACTCTGTTTATTTTCTCATTAACAGCACACATTCGTGCCACAGAACCAAAGTTATTGGTGATAGTAACTAAAGTAGCTCTTGCCAGATCTTCTTTACTAACAGATGATTCTCGCTTCTCCTTATAAATCATATTCCTAAAACTAGATGCTACAGCTCAACCTGGCAAACCAAATCTTTCATGATCTCCTCCATAAATATCATGGGTCAGCTTGTCAGCTTATGTGCTGTCACCTTTGGAATGCCATTTCAAGAGCCTCTTCAAAACTTTCACAGCCAGTCAATAAACTGCATAAACCCAGAAAGGTACCCTCCCCAAGGCTTGTCCCAGTCATTCGTTTATAGATGTCTTTGGAATGGACTGCTAAAATACTGGCTCCTGAGCCAATGTTCACTACAAGCAGTGGGTAGGGATCATCCAGGTTAAAAGGCATCTTTTGGCATTGCTGAGGTTCTGAGGCATTAGCTAAATAATAGCACTCCGCATGCCCATTGAAACCAACAGTCTATATACAGCAAGCCCTTTACAAGGCAGTCAAGTTCATCCAGTTTGTGCAGGTGGAGGTTTCCAATTGTGCGAAAATCTTTTTCAAACTTGTAGGCACCACCTCCTGTAGCACATAGCACCGTTTGCAATATTGAGAAGTTTTTATCTCTTCCCATTTGGATAAAAGTAGGCAGGTCCTGGGTTGGAAACCTGATAAAGTGCAAGTTCCCTCTTCGGCCAAAAAGTGTTAAATCTTTCAGTTCAAGGTGTACATCCCTAATGCCGGTGGATCCACATGCTACATTAGAAATCAAATATTTTCGAATACTTTTTAAACTCTCAACTTCTTCTTGTTCTTCCTCTGCTGTGATAGCAATAGGTTCAAAGTACGAGAGGTTTACTAGAGTTCCCCCAATGTCCATGCCAAACCATGGGAAAGAGGATTTCTTGCCATCTTTGATCTTCATGGCCTCGGCCGGAGGGGCAAGGGACGGCTTCGGGTCCGGAGCACTGAGAGCAGAGGCTGCAACTTCGGAGGTGGCTGGGCCGCTAGATGAGGCCCGGCGGGTTCCTCCCCTCAGGCTAGGCGGGGTGGCAGCGCCTGAGGGGATGCCCGGCCCACGGGGCGGTCCCCCACCCCCGCGAGGGGCGGCTGGGACTGAGCAAGCTTGGGAAGGCTGACTGCCTGGTGGCTCCGGACCCCGCCCACACACAAACACGCAGCCGCTCCAGACAAAAGTCCCTGGTCCCGGGAGCCGCCACCGCCGCCCTAAAAAATGTATTTTCTAATTATGTTTACTTGACACATAATAATTGCACATATTTGTGAGGCACAGAGAGGTGTTTTGATGCGTACAATGTGTAATAATTAAATATGGGGAATTAGCAAATCCATCGCCTCAGATATTTCTCATTTCTTTGCATTGGGAATATTCCAAATTTTCTCTTCTAGCTATTAGGAAATACATGGTATTACATTTTAAATTTCACTATCCACATGTTCATTGCCGTTATTTGGAGATATAATTTATTTCTGTAGACTTTTATCCTGTGACCTTGCTGTATTACATTTTTAGTTCTAAGAGGTCTCCTTCCCTCCCCCCATAGAGGTTTTTGTTTGTTTTTTTGTTAGTTTTTTGTGAGACAGGGTCTCATTCTTCGCCCAGGCTGGAGTGCAGTGGTGCCATCTCTGCTCATTGCAACCTCTGTCTCCCGGGTTCAAGTGATTCTCATGCTTCACCCTTCCAGGTAGCTGGGATTACAGGCATGTGCCACCATGGTTGGTTAATTTTTGACTTTTTAATAGAGATGGGGTTTTGCCATGTTGGCCATGGCTGGTCTGGAACTCCTGGCCTCAAATGATCCGCCCACCTCAGCCTCCCAAAGTGCTGGGATTACAGGCATGGGCCACCACGCCCAGCCTCCCTTATGCTTTTGACGTCGGCTGAGTCTACAGTGATATCCTCTTTTTATTCCTGATGTTGGTAAACTGTGTCATCTCTCTGCCGAAAATTTCTATCTTGCTAGAGTTCTTCTTTTATTGATCCTTGAAAGGAACTAGCTTTTTGTTTGTTTTTCTATTTTTTGTATGTGTGCGGGTGTTCCATTTCATTGATTTCTGCTTTTATTTTTTATTATTTCCTTTCTTCTATTTGCTTTCGGTTATTTTGCGCTTTTTCCCACCTGGTTTCTTCAAGTAAGAGTTTAGAGGACTGATTTGGGACTTTTTTCTTTTCTAATGTGTGCACTTAGTGCTGTGTATTTCTCTCTCAGCACTCCTTTAGGATGTCTTGGAATTTTTAATATATTGTATTTTCAGTTTTATTCAGGTTAACTTATTTTTTGATGTCTACTAAGGCTTTCTCTTTGTTTTATGAACTGTTTAGTAGTGTGTTGTTCATTTTCCAAGCATTTGGATATTTTTCTGTCATCTTTTTGTGACCGATTTTTAGTTTAATTTCATTGCGGTCAGGGATCATACCATATTAGTTAATTCTTTTAAATTTGTTGAGGTTTGTTTTATGGCCCAGGATATGTTTTACCTTGACCTATATTCTCTGTGGATTTGACAAGTGTGTTCTTCTCTTCTTGTGTGGACTGTTTTATAAATGTTAGCTGAATTCTGGTGGCTGAAGACGATTTTGAGTTTTCAACATTTTTTTTTTTTTTTTTTTTGAGACGGAGTCTCACTCTGTTGCCCAGGCTAGAATGCAGTGCTGCGATCTCGGCTCACTGCAAGCTCCGCCTCCTGGTTTCATGCCATTCTCCTGCCTCAGCCTCCTGAGTAGCTGGGTCTACAGGCGCCCGCCACCACGCCTGGCTAATTTTTTTGTATTTCTTAGTAGAGACTGTGTTTCATCATGTTAGCCAGGATGATCTTGATCTCCTGACCTCATGATTCACCTGCCTCAGATTCCCAAAGTGCTGGGATTACAGGCGTGAGCCACCACACCCGGCCTAGTTCTTCAACATTCTTGCTGATTTTGTTTAGTTGTTCTATCAATCATTATGAGAGAAGTTTTGAAGTCTCCAAAGTAATTGTGGATTTGTCTATTTTTTTTTAAGTTAACTATTTTTTTCTCTTTACATATGTTACAGCTCTGCTGTTTGGTGGTTACATATTTAGGATTGTTATGCCTTCTATTTCTTTCCCTGGCTCTGTCTCTTCTTTCTTTTTCTTCTTTATTTATGCAAGAAAGAACAAATTTACTATTACTTTCCCTACCAAAGCAGTTTCTCATCACTTCCTGACTCTGAGAATTAAATTCTGTTTCCTTCAGATGTCCTTAGTTGATTGACTTACAAACAGGGATTGTAAGCAGGAAAATAGAATAAAACACCTGTTAGATTTGAATACAAATTGAGAAATTTGTATCTTTGTCCCTCCATGGAAACATTTAAAATGGAATGGGAACCACCTGAGAAGCACATATTGTCCACATCTTGGGATCATTTCTGAATATCTTGCCTCTTCAACCAACAATCAGCAACAGTGGAATATGCCAAGACCAGCTCGGTCAGGGAGACCCTAACCCAGCGGTGCTACAGGAATTAAAGACACACACAGAAATATAGAGATGTGAAGTGGGAAATCAGGGGTCTCACAGCCTTCAGAGCTGAGAGCCCTGAACAGAGATTTACCCACATATTTATTAACAGCAAACCAGTCATTAGCATTGTTTCTATAGATATTAAATTAACTAAAAGTATACCTTATGGGCAACGAAGGCATGGGCCGAATTAAAGGAATAGGTTGGGCTAGTTAACTGCAGCAGGAGCATGTCCTTAAGGCACAAATCACTCATGCTATTGTTTGTGGCTTAAGAATGCCTTTAAGCAATTTTCCACCCTGGGTGGGCCAGGTGTTCCTTGCCCTCATTCCCATAAACCTACAACCTTCCAGCTTGGGCATTAGGGCCATTATGAACATGTTACAGTGCTCCAGAGATTTGGTTTATGGCCAGTTTTGGGGCCAGTTTATGGCCAGATTTTGGGGAGCTTGCTCCCAACAGGAATATATATATATATATATATATATATATATATATATATATATATATATATGTACACATACACACACACCCACACACACACACATATACATAAGTATATATATATATACACATACTTTGAGATATATATCTCAAAGATTATTTCTATAAACTATTTGATAATGATTTTCACACATTATATATTTTTAATCCCTAAATTCATCAATGTGTATTTCTTAAAACAAGATCAATTCCTTAACACAGCACAATTATCAAATTCAGTAAACTTAACATTGATAAAATAATATTATCTAATATACAATCTTTAAAAATTTAACTAATTGTATCAATACAATCTTTTACAGAAATTTCTCTCCCAAGCTAGGATCCATTTCACAGACACATATGAATCTAATTGTCTTGACTCTTTAGTCTCCTTTAATTTAGAACAGTTGCTCAATCGTGTCTTTCACAACATTGATGTTTTTGAAGAGTATATGCCAGTGGTTTTGTGGAATGTTTCTTAATTTGTGCTACTCATGATAAGATTAAGGTTATGGAAACTTGGAGAAATGTCACAAAAATCATGTTATCCTCTATCACACCAAGAGGCATGTGATGTCAGTTTTCCCCATTATTAGTGAAGTTAGCTTTGATCATTTGGTTAAGTTTGTAGCTGCTATTTCTTCCCTGAAAAAGTATCATCTTCCTCATTGTAATCAATAAGTAAGCTCTAGGTAAATACTCTGAGACTATATAAATATCCTGATCCTCATCAAAATTTTACCTATACTTTTAGTATTGACTTATAAATTATGCCTGCACTTATCAGCATTCTGATGGTGTCCAGATTTTGTAATTTTCTGATGGGGATTTTCAAATTTTATCCTTCCTTCCACATTTATTAGCTGGCATACCACTGTAAGGAAAATCTTCCCATCTTCCATATTTATTTATTTAAGTTCCCAAGATTGATAATCATTTATTGTCATCATTAATGTTCAAAGTGTGTCAGATTTGGTCAATGAGATTCCCTTCAAGCCCACTTCTGTGTTCTTTTCAATCATCCCCAACATTCTGGCACAGCAAGATATCTTAGGTTCATCTTGTAGTTTCCCTGGCCCAGTCCTGGAGTCAGTGTAGTTGACACTAGTAGCTACTTTCTATTAGTATCTCTGGTGCCTTTTAGTAGGGAATGGTATTTGAAAATCAAAATATTATTATCTTTGTTCATTGTTTCTGAGGTATTTCTTCTAGACCTAGTTAGCAGACAGATCTGCAGGGAAATTTTACTTTTTTTTGTTTTTTGAGAAAAGGCTAAGTCGCCCAGGCCAGAGTTCGGTGGTGGGATCTTGGCTCACTGCAACATCCGCCTCCCAAGTTCAAGCGATTCTCCTGCCTCAGGCTTCCAAGTAGCTGGGACTACAGGCACACACCACCACATCTGGCTAATTTTTGTATTTTTAGTAGAGACGGGGTTTCACCATGTTGGCCAGGCTGTTCTCGAACTCCTGACCTCAAGGGAGCTGCCCGTCTCAGCCTCCCAAAGTGTTGGGATTACAAGCGTGAGCCACCATGCCCAGCCTATAAAATTACATATGTATAATTTCATATTGATGCCTCCAATTCCCATCAACACCAACAGGACTATTCTTTACCTTCTTTCTCTTACAGTGACAGTCTTGTTCCAACAACACACCTGCTCACACACACTCATTTTCCCAATCCTGAAATTCACACAAAATCTCAGAATTCTTACAGCCCTAGCTCTACAAAAATAACCCTGATACAGAGTTCAAGATTTGTTTGCAATTCTTTTTAATCTTACAATTAGAACAACAAACTGTATAAACCATTTTCATAGATCAGTTCTTTCCTTTTCAGTTGGATTATGTTATTGTTTCACAATGCAGTTTTAGTTTGCCTCTATTTGTATTCAATTTTAGGGTATTTTCACACACACTTGAGTCAGGTTTATTTTTTGACTATATGAAACACCAACATGCTTCCAAGAGTCAAAAGATTACAGAAAATTATGATCAGAAAATTTGCAAGAGAATGTCGTATACCGGGACACACTCAAATGATAGAACGGAAGTATGCTCCAGGAAGTCTAACATGATGGAGAGCCCACCTTGGGGTGAGTTGATCTTGGGCTGACCACAAATCAGGAACAGTGCCTTTATTTTTACCACTAAGCTACCTTTTGTTGTTGTTCTTGTTGTGTTTTGAGACGGAGTCTTGCTCTGTCACCCAGGCTGGAGTGCAGTGGCATGATCTCGGCTCACTGCAACCTCTGCCTCCCGGGTTTAAGCCGTTCTGTACTTCAGCCTCCCAAGTAGCTGGGATTACAGGCACCTGCCACCATGCCTGGCTAATTTTCATATTTTCAGTAGAGACAGAGTTTCACCATCTTGTCCAGGCTCGTCTTGAACTCCTGACCTCGTGATCCACCCACCTCAGCCTCACAAAGTTCTCATTACAGGCATAAACCACTGCGCCGGGCCAAGCCACCTTTCTTTTGGTATAGCCGTGCCTAAAAGAGGAAGCGCTTCGTGTAGGGAATTAACAGCAGAATTGGAAACATCGTGATTATCCTGACACAGAGGGCAGGCTCAGATATTGGCTGTCACCAAAGGGTTTTCTGAAGGATCTAGGTTGCCGAGAGGGTAGAGCTCAGTGGTAGAGCATGCACGAGGCCCTAGGCTCAATCCCCAGTACCTCCAGGTTTTGTTTTCTTCCCCGGGACACCAGTAAGAAGCGGTCCATGATATTCCCCAACTTTGGAATTTTCTGTCAAGGTGAATTGTGTTGGCCTCTGCATTTCTCTCTCATACACAGAGGTGACTCGTGTTTATTCACTTGAGGTTATTTGCTGCTTAGGATTATCCACCTATTCTTTCTAAGCAGTCCCATCAATCACTAACATGGACCACGCATGGGGGAAGCAAGTAGTATTTCTGGCCATCCAGCCTATTTCTAGCTGTAAATGAAATCATCAGAAACCATAGAACTGTGTGGCCCAAGTCTGATTTCAGATTGGAAGCTAAAAGGCTCAAGTCCTTTTCTGTTTCCTTTTCTAACTCCCCCTAACCAGGTTGCAGAAGCCCTACAAGCTTTCACTAAAAGATTACACTGCCAGGGGTTGACGATTTGATGTGCTGGTGGTCATTTTTTCCATTGGAGATCCGCAAACTCTGAAACTTAAACGATTTAACTACAAACACACAGCAAATGATGAAAAGATAGCGGTCACCTCAGCTGAAATTTGGTGGAAGTAAAAAGTACTTCTCTGGGTCTTCTGAGGAAGCTTCTGGTGTGAGATGCAAACACTCTGAACTCCAGGGACCAAGGTCAGTCAGTATAGGAGAAAGCTCATTTTGTTGTTTTACATAAATAAAAGTAATGAACGCTTATTCTTCCAATCCCAAAGGATCCTTTTGTACCTCACTGTACTTACTCTCCAGGATTGACCACCTTCTAAGCTAGGGAACAAGCCATACCTCCAGATTAGAGCTCTTTGTGGTATCACTGTGCTAAGCAGAAATCCACAGGGAAATACTCTGCAAGCATGTTAATACTATCTTGTTGAAAGAAAATCTGCTTTTATTTTCAGCTCTATTTCATGCCAAGGTTACTCAACACCCAGAAGGCAGAACAGCGACCTCTCTCTCTCCATCTGCAGAAGCCAAGCAAGCGTGTGGGCCTCCGTATGCATCCTTTCTTTTATTCACTTTCTAAATGCTGTAACGGCTACCATCTACCAGGTGGTCACAAACCATCTCTAAAGTCAATCTGAGGTTAACCCACTCGACTTGTGAGGGATCCACCTATACTGCTTCTGCACCTGTAATATGACTAAGGAGACGGTGGCTGCACACGTAGTTAACACCGATTGTACTGTGACTCCGCCTTTCCGCAGCAGCTCTCCGGCTCTTTAGAGTCCTTTTGAGCCAAGCTGGACGTGAGGCATAAAGGAGCTCTTTGCAAACGCCAGGAGGAATTTCTTCAGGGTGAAGTTAACTTTCAATCGGCTTCATTCTAAGAGAAATATGTGAAGCAAACAAACGGGAACTTTTTTTCTCATCTTTTGCATTTCAAGCAAAAACTAATAAAATTAGATGTTTCCACCGTCATGCTCAGTCTCGAAGCTGCCAGCAGATCCCGCTTCTAACTTTTAACACAGGCACGCAGGAAATCGGGAAATCCCTGCAGTTCCCTCAGAAGCTACAGTATCAGCAGTTCCTGAAGCGCAAACCAAAACCCAACATCATGTACCCCTCCAAAGAGCTCAGCCGGTCTGTTGAGGGACGGAAACAGCGGCGAGGTGCTCTGGAAGCCGTGACAGCCTGGCCGAAATGAACCAGGTCCCTCCTGGTCGAGCCTACCTCCCTAGGGACAAGAAACGTACCTCTCTTCCCTCATATCCAGAGGAAGCAATGGAGGGATGTGGCGCTTAGACTCACTCTACTATCCAGTCCATCGAAGTCCTAATAATCTTCAGGATGCGACAGAGTGAGACTCCGTCTCAACAAAACAAAACAAAACAACCCTAAGGAAAAGAGAGAATGTACTGGAGGATAGGAAGTATCTAGGAGAACCTTCTTTTTTTTTTTTCTTATATTTAAATTTAAGCCTTCATTTATATAAAATAAAACGCATGAAACCTATTCAGCTTATGGCTTATTATATATATAACCAAAACTCAGACCAAGATACTGAATTTTTCAGCAACCAACAGCTGCCTTTTGCCTCATTTCAATTATCCTAACTCTGACCTCCACCTCCATAGATTACTTTTCTTATGTTTTAAATGGGATCATATGAAATGATGGTAGTCTATTTGGGGCTGCTACAAAATCACTCAAGACTGGTAAATTATAACGAACAAAAACTTATTTCCTTCCTTCCTTCCTTCCTCTCTCTCTTTCTTTCTTTCTTTCTTTCTTTCTTTCTTTCTTTCTTTCTTTCTTTATTTCTTCTTTCCTTCCTTCCTTCCTTCCTTCCTTCCTTCCTTCCTTCCTTCCTTCCTTCTTTCTTTCTTTCTTTCCTTCTTCTTGACAGAGTTTCACTCTTGTTGCCCAGGCTGGAATACAGTGGCATGATCTTGGCTCACTGCAACCTCTGCCTCCTGGGTTCAAGCAATTCTCCTGTCTCAGCTTCCTGGGTAGCTGGGATTACAAGCGAGTGCCACCACGCCTGGCTAATTTTTCTGTATTTTTGGTAGAGATGGGGTTTCACCATGTTTGCCAGGGTGGTCTTGAACTCCTGACCTCATCCTGGCCACATCCACTGTGGCCTCCCAAAACGCTGTGATTACAGGAGAGGGCCATGGCACCCGGCCCAGAAACTTATTTTCTCACAGTTCTGGAGTCTGAGAAGTCCAAGATCAAGGCACTGGCTCTGGTGTCTGGTGATGGCCTTTTTGTTGTGTCCTCACATGGCAGAAAACTGAGGGCAATAGAGAGATGAACTTTCTTTGTCAAGTCTTATTATAAGGGTACCTAATATTATTCATGAGGAAGGAACCCTCATGGCTTAATCTTCTTAAAGGCTCTATCTCTCGATAATTATCACATGGCGACACCCAAGCTTTGGAGGGGACACTTTCAAACCATAGCAAGTCTGTACTCATTTGAGTATGGATTCTTTCACTCAATTTTTGTAAAAAAAAAATTAGATTCATTTTCTATATATTGTTGCTAGTAGCAGTAGTTATTTTCTATTGCTCTGGAGTATTCCATTATCTGAATACTGTACATCATGATTCATTAATTCGTTTTACTGTCCAAGTACATTTGCAGCACCCCTAGTTTTTGGTTGAAAGGTCTAATGCCGCTGTAAGTGTTTCGATACATGTCCTTCAAGGGAAATGCTCATGCACTTCTCTTGGGTATAAATGTAACTGTCTAGTTTTGGGGTCATAGGTTATATATATATATATATATATATATATATATATATAAATATATATATATATTTAGTTTTAGTTGATATTTTCAGATAGTTTCCCAGTGTAGATATAGCAGTTTACAGTCTCATCAGCCATGTATGCATGTTCCAATTGCTTCACATACTCAGCAACACTTGATATTATCCACTTTTTAGGTTAAATGATTCCGATGAAGAGCAGTATTATTTTGTGTGTGGTTTTTTTGTTTGTTTTTGTTTGTTTATTTTTTGATGGTGTCTTGCTCTGCTGCCCAGGCTGGAGTGCAGTGGCACAATCTTGGCTCACTGTAGCCTTTGCCTCCCAGGATCAAGAGATTTTCATGATATGATATTCTCGTGAAAATCTCATGAGATACTCAGCCTCCTGAGTAGTTGGGACTACAGGGGCATGCGGCTGTCTAAATTTTTGTAGTCGTAGTAGAGACCAGGTTGGCCAGGCTGGTCTTGAACTCCTGGCCTCAGGTGATCCACCCGACTTGACCTTCCAAAGTGCTGGGAGTATAGGTGTGAGCCACCGTGCCCAGCTTTGTTGTGTTTTTAATTTGCATTTCCTTTATAGCAAAAGATGTCGAGCATATTTTATATTACTCAATAGCAATTTTTTGTGAAGTGCATATTAATTTGCTCTTTCTTATTGAAGTTTTAGTCTTTTTAACATATTCCAGATAAAGATACTTAGTAAAATATAATAATTGAAATATCTTCTCCTAGAATGTGGCTTATCATCTGTTCTTAAGGAGGATGGGGCTTGAAAAACTTTGTAAGCAGATGAAAGAGAAGAAATGGAGACAGACAGGTTAAGACCCCAGAGAAAATTTGAAAGTTCCATCTGGACATCTTACCTGTTGATGTGGGAGAAAATGCCCCCAGGAAGTTTGCTGGAGAGGAAACCTCAGAATAAAACTGATGGGATGAAATGTTCTAGAAGCAGAAACAGTGTGATTTGGTCTGTGATTCTCTTACATTTCTTACATGACGGGTTAATGGGTGCAGCATACCAACATGGCACATGTATACATATGTAACAACACCTGCTGGGATTACAGATGTGAGCCACCATGCCTGACTTTAATTCTTTCTTGTATACATACAAAATTGACAGTTGTGTATGATGTGAGGTAGGAGTCAAGACTGACTCTTTTTTTTTAAAAAAAGAAAAATTACAACACATGGACACAGGAAGGGGAACATCAAAAAAAAATGTTAATAATATTTTTAAGCCAGGCCCACACCTGTGGGGTGTGATGTGGGGTGGGGACAGGGGGGAGGGATAGCATTAGGAGATATACCTAGCGAGAAGAGAAGTTTAGAGAAAAAAGAATAAAAAGAAATGAACAAAGCCTCCAAGAAATATGGGACTATGTGAAAAGACTAAATCTACGTCTGATTGGTGTACCTGAAAGTGACTGGGAGAATGGAACCAAGTTGGAAAACACTCTGCAGGATAGTATCCAGGAGATCTTTCCCAATCTAGCAAGGCAGGCCAACATTCAAATTCAGGAAATACAGAGAAAACCACAAAGATACTCCTCGAGAAGAGCAACTCCAAGACACATAATTGTCAGATTCACCAAAGTTGAAATGAAGGAAAAAATGTTAAGGGCAGCCAGAGAGAAAGGTCGGGTTACCCACAAAGGGAAGCCCATAAGACTAACAGCTGATCTGTCAGCAGAAACTCTACAAGCCAGAAGACAGTGGGGGCCAATATTCAACATTCTTGAATAAAAGAATTTTCAACCCAGAATTTCATATCCAGCCAAACTAAGCTTCATAAGTGAAGGAGAAATAAAATACTTCACAGACAAGCAAATGCTTAGAGATCTTACTACCACCAGGCCTGCCCTAAAAGAGCTCCTGAAGCAAGCACTAAACATGAAAAAGAACAACCAGTACAAGCCACTGCAAAAACATGCCAAATTGTAAAGACTATCAAGGCTAGGAAGAAACTGCAGCCACTAATGAGCAAAATAACCAGCTAACATCATAATAACAGGATCAAATTCACACATAACAATATTAACCTTAAATGTAAATGGGCTAAATGCTCCAATTAAAAGACACAGACTGGCAAATTGGATAAAGAGTCAAGACCCATTAGTGTGCCGTATTCAGGAAACCGATCTCATGTGCAGAGACACACATAGGCTCAAAATAAAGGGATGGAGGAAGATCTACCAGGCAAATGGAAAACAAAAAAAGGGAGGGGTTGCAATCCTAGTCTCTGATAAAACAGACTTTAAGCCAACAAAGATCAAAAGAGACAAGGCCATTACATAATGGTAAAGGGATCAAATCAACAAGAAGAGCTAACTATCCTAAATATACATGCACCCAATACAGGAGCACCCAGATTCATAAAGCAAGTCCTTAGAGACATACAAAGAGACTTAGACTCCCACACAATAATAATGGGAGACTTTAACACCCCACTGTCAACGTTAGACAGATCGAGACAGAAAGTTAACAAGGATATCCAAGAATTGAACTCAACTCTGCACCAAGTGGACCTAATAGACATCTACAGAACTCTCCACCCCAAATCCACAGAATATACATTCTTTTCAGCACCACACTACACCTATTCCAAAATTGACCACATAGTTGGAAGTAAAGCACTCCTCAGCAAATGTAAAACAACATAAATTATAACAAACTGTCTCTCGGACCACAGTGCAATCAAACTAGAACTCAGGATTAAGAAATTCACTCAAAACTGCTCAACTACATGGAAACTGAACAACCTGCCCCTGAATGACTACTGGGTACATAACAAAATGAAGGCAGAAATAAAGATGTTCTTTGAAACCAATGAGTACAAAGGCACAACATACCAGAATCCCTGGGACACATTCAAAGCAGTGTGTAGAGGGAAATTTATAGCACCAAATGCCCACAAGAGAAAGCAGGAAAGATCTAAAATTGACACCCTAACATCACAATTAAAAGAACTAGAGAAGCGAGAGCAAACACATTCAAAAGCTAGCAGAAGGCAAGAAATAACTAAGATCAGAGCAGAACTGCAGGAAATAGAGACACAAAAACCCTTCAAAAAATCAATGAATCCAGGAGCTGATTTTTGAAAAGATCAACTAAACTGATAGACCACGAACAAGACTAATAAAGAAGAAAAGAGAGAAGAATCAAATAGACGCAATAAAAAATGATAAATGGGATATCACCACTGATACCACAGAAATACAAACTACCATCAGAGAATACTATAAACACCTCTACACAAATAAACTAGAAAATCTAGAAGAAACGGATAAATTCCTCAACACATACACCCTCCCAAGACTAAACCAGGAAGAAGTTGCATCTCTGAATAGACCAATAATAGGCTCTGAAATTGAGGCAATAATTAATATTTTACCAACCAAAAAAATTCCAGGACCAGATGGATTCACAGCCGAATTCTACCAGAGGTACAAGGAGGAGCTGGTACCATTCCTTCTGAAACTATTCCAATCAATAGAAAAAGAAAGAATCCTCCCTAACTCATTTTATGAGGCCAGCATCATCCTGATACCAAAGCCAGGCAGAGACACAACCAAAAAAGAGAATTTTAGACCAATATCCTTGATGAACATTGATGCAAAAATCCTCAATAAAATACTGGCAAACCAAATCCAGCAGCACATCAAAAAGCTTATCCACCATGATCAAGTAGGCTTCATCCCTGAGATGCAAGGCTGGTTCAACATATGAAAATCAACAAACGTAATCCAGCATATAAATGGAACCAAAGACAAAAACCACATGATCATCTCAATAGATGCAGAAAAGACCTTTGACAAAATTCAACAATGCTTCATGCTAAAAACTCTCAATAAATTAGTTATTGATGGGACGTATCTCAAAATAATAAGAGCTATCTATGACAAACCCACAGCCAATATCACACTGAATGGGCAAAAACTGGAAGCATTCCCTTTGAAAACTGGCACAAGACAGGGATACCCTCTCTCACCATTCCTATTCAACATAGCGTTGGAAATTCTGGCCAGGGCAATCAGGCAGGAGAAGGAAATAAATGGTATTCAATTAGGAAAAGAGGAAGTCAAATTGCTCCTGTTTGCAGATGACATGATTGTATATCTAGACAACCCCATCATCTCAGCCCAAAATCTCCTTAAGCTGATAAGCAACTTCAGCAAAGTTTCAGGATACAAAATCAATGTGCAAAAATCACAAGCATTCTTATACACCAATAATAGACAAACAGAGAGCCAAATCATGAGTGAACTCCCATTCACAATTGCTTCAAAGAGAATAAAATACCGAGGAATCCAAATAACAAGGGATGTGAAGGACCTCTTTAAGAAGAACTACAAGCCACTGCTCAATGAAATAGAAGAGGATACAAACAAATGGAAGAACATTCCATGCTCATGGGTAGGAAGAATCAATATCATGAAAATGGCCATGCTGCCCCAGGTAATTCATAGATTCAATGCCATCCCCATCAAGCTTCAAATGACTTTCCTCACAGAATTGGAAAAAACTACTTTAAAGTTCATATGGAACTGAAAAAGAACCCACATTGCCAAGTCAATCCTAAGCCAAAAGAACAAAGCTGGAGGCACCACGCTACCTGACTTCAAACTATACTACAAGGCTACAGTAACCAAAAGAGCATGGTACTGGTAACAAAACAGAGATATAGACCAATGGAACAGAACGGAGCCCCCAGAAATAATGCCACATATCTACAACTATCTGATCTTTGACAAACCTGACAAAAACAAGAAACGGGGAAAGGAGTCCCTATTTAATAAATGGTGCTGGGAAAACTGGCTAGCCATATGTAGAAAGCTGAAACTGGATCCCTTCCTTACACCTTATACAAAAAATAATTCAAGATGGATTAAAGACTTACATGTTAGACCTAAAACCATAAAAACCCTAGAAGAAAACCTAGGAAATACCATTCAGGACATAGGCATGCGCAAGGACTTCATGTCTAAAACACCAAAAGCAATGGCAACAAAAGCCAAAATTGACAAATGGGATCTAACTAAACTAAAGAGCTTCTGCACAGCACAAGAAACTACCATCAGAGTGAATAGGCAACCTACAGAATGGGAGAAACGTTTTGCAACCTACTCATCTGACAAAGGGCTAATAGCCAGAATCTACAATGAACTCAAACAAATTTTCAAGAAAACACAACCCCATTAAAAAGTGGGTGAAGGATATGAACAGACAGTTCTTAAAAGAAGGCATTTGTGCAGCCCAAAAACATGAAAAAAATGCTCATCATCACTGTCCATCAGAGAAATGCAATTCAAAACCACAATGAGATACCATCTCACACCAGTTAGAATGGTGATCATTAAAAAGTCAGGAAACAACAGGTGCTGGAGAGGATGTGGAGAAATAGGAACACTTTTACTACTAGAAACTAGTAGTAAACTAGTTCAACCATTGTGGAAGTCAGTGTGGCGATTCCTCAGGGACCTAGAACTAGAAATACCATTTGACCCAGCCATCCCATTACTGGTTATACATCCAAAGGATTATAAATCATGCTGCTATAAAGACACATGCACACGTATGTTTATTGCGGCACTACTCACAATAGCAAAGACTTGGAACCAACCCAAATGTCCAACAACGATAGACTGGATTAAGAAAATGTGGCACATATACACCATGGAATACCATGCAGCCATGAAAAATGATGAGTTCATGTCTTTTGTAGGGACATGAATGAAGCTGGAAACCATCATTCTTAGCAAACTATTGCAAGGACAAAAAACCAAACACCGCATGTTCTCACTTATAGGGGGGAATTGAACAATGAGACCACATGGACACAGGAAGGGGAACATCACACACCAGGGACTGTTGTCGGGTGGGGGGAGGGGGGAGGGATAGCATTAGGAGATATACCTAAGGCTAAATGATGAGTTACTGGGTGCAGCACACCAACATGTCACATGTATACATATGTAACAAACCTGCACGTTGTGCACATGTACCCTAAAACTTAAAGTACAAAAATAATAAAAAAAGCAATTATAGGAAAGTAGACAGAACAAAACAAATACCTATACTTCTATCACTTAAAGACAAAAAAAAAGAAAGATGCTACTGGGCAGTAGGAATTTTTCAGTTCCAATGGGCCACCATTATATATGCAGTCCCTTGTTGACTGAAATGTCATATGTAGTGCACAGCTGTATTACAAAACCATTTTAAATAATATGCATATGTAGCTAGGTGTTGTCTACCATTAGATGATAATCCTAAAGGATCAACTATATAAATATGAAAGACAAGTTCTCAAAGTAGCTATACTGTTTTCCATAGTGGTTAACATGCCTTATAATGGAATAGAAAAATGTCCCTTCTTAAATATTTAAAATACAAGTTTCTGTTTGAGGTAAGTCTCAATATATGAACAAAAGGAAGGCTTTTTATCTCTTTTTAGCAAAATGTTTTGAGCAACTTTGGCACAAAAATGTAAGGATCCGTCACAGTGAATATTGTTCATAATATCCTAATTCACTTTAAACTCATTAATGATGAACTTTTTAACTCAGTAAAAGAAACACATACACAAAGCTACTGATAATCTTGTATGTTAAAAGAAACTACTATCAGTATATATTTTTTGTTAAATATATGTACTTATTCAATATATTTTTTAAACAGTTGTGATGTTGTAGATATAAGGAATTGTTTATTTGTTCCCATGTCTCAAATATAAGGCTATTTAAAGTAGTGCTGATGGATGCAGGTAAGATAATTCAGAGAAAAATAGTAAACTTTACAATATCATTAAGTTTTTTCCTGCATATACAAAATTCTACTGTGTGGATACGTGAATTATACTATATCCCAGGTGAAACAAAAATAGTAGAATTCTACTGGAAATATGTCGCTTAAAGAGAGGAATGATTACCCTACTTTGCCTATGCAAATAAAAAAAGAAATGTTTGCATTGCTAAAAAGCAAATTTCCCCAGGAGCTAACATAATATTTTATTTTATGTTAACAATAAGTAGGAAAACAAACATTTTAGAAGACCAAGGTAACTGGGGAATGGCTGTACTTGGAATAGATATTTGATATGATTTGATAAATTAGATTGTTACTACTTCATTGAAGAACACAAACTGAATCTGAAAGAAATCACTTAGAAGTTTTATCTATTGATTGTATCTTACATTGTCTTGAAAATGTTAGCAATTTCAAAAAATATTTTATTAAACTTTTCTTTAAAAATTATTAACAACTTATGGTGCTTTAGCTGATGTAAGGTGCTTTTCCTCATAGCTCAGTACATATCCAAGAATAACTGAAAAGAAAGACTAATGTTTAAATAAGTGAAGTAAGCAGGTGTGAGTTTAGGCTTCTTTTAATGTTCTTTTTGTATTGCTCTCATGCGACTCTCCATAGGAATGTATTCTTTGACAGTGGTAGTGGGGAGGGGTCGAAAGTTGCAAGAATTTTGGAATGGAAGGTGAACCTATTGAAAATTTATAGTTAAATTGATTGTTGGCAATATGATGCTTCCCAAAGTGCTAATCACACTTTGGTTTTAGAAGATAAGCTAACTTTTTAAAGATGTTAGACATTGAATAGTAAAATACATTCATGTGCCACATAACGATGTTTCAGTCAATGACTGACTGCATATATGACAAGTTCCCGTAATATTATAATGTCTATACCATAGAGCCTAAGTGTGTAGTAGGTTATACTATCTAGGGTTGTGTAAGTATACTCTGTGTTGTTCATGCAATGATAAATTAATTTCTCAGAATGTATTCCCATTGTTAAGTAATGTATGATTGTAGATCAATTTATCTTATATTTAAATTTTCTGAGGTAGTTTGGGCAAACTGTAGAGTCTATTGAAACATGAAATAAAAATAAAGATTAAAAATATATGTGTAGATGTCTGAAAATGTGCCTTTCTGTTATGTCAATAGTCCTAGAACAATTCTATTTTAGAGGGACTTAAAACAAGAATTAGATTGTGTGGTTTAAATCTGAAGAGTAGCTGAACTTGTCCAGTCAGCTATAATTTATCTCAAGGTTAGATCTGGAGAAGTGGATGCTGTTCTTAACAGCTATCCAGTAATTACCTGTTTCTGACAAAGAAAGTATGGAGCCATCTAAATACTTCTTATATGCTTACAGAATGTATCTTGCATCCCTGTATGGAGGGTAGTGAGTGGTTGAAAGCCACAGAAAGAGTAACCTCTCATATCAAAGAAAATTCAGCAAGGGTTTGTAAAGGAAAGAGGAGAAGAGTTGGTCATATCCAGATTGCTGATCTCTTAAAGGAAGTGATCCCCGGTAAGAGGAGAGCCATCTTTTTTTTTTTTTTTTTTTTTTTTGCTAAACTTCCTTCTTAAAGTTTTGTCTGCCTCCTTTTTCCTTGATCTTCCTTGTACCCTTTACTTAAAGTCACATTTGATTGGTGACTCTTTTTCAGAACTGATGTCTATCATTGGTACCAATTGTGACAATAGATATCTTGCTCCCTAGTCTCTCTTTCCCTTATGTTAACTTATTTTTCTGTTCTCTATAGCCTTCTCCATCAGTCATCTTGGGCAAACTTTATAAGTAAATGACTAAAAATACAGGTTTCAAAGGCAGATCCTCAGAATTCTTGATACATGACAAGAGTTTTCATCGATCTAAATAGAAATAAAGACAATTTTCTGAAAATTTCAAGTTGTTTCAAAAAATTAAACTTATTGAGGTGTATCTTTTACTCTTTATTCAAGTGTCCTTTCATGAAATTATAATGATAGTAGTTGGAGTTTTGTTTATCTTTGGTTTTAATACTCTTACTTGGCAAAACAAGATGTTGGCAACCATTATAACTAAAAATTTTTGGAAATTTTTATTGATCTTTGAAATTATTTAAGTGAAATTCCTTTGGAAAATTTTGCACATAGCAACCTACTAACCACTGGAGCAAAAGCATGTAAATATACTTGCTTACTGTGTTCTTTAGGAAAGACCACCAAACATAATTTAAATGAAACATGATTGTCTTTTATTATATTCCAAATGTGGGTCATGTGTAATGCAGCAAAGTGAACTTGACTAGGTCATCCTTCTGTGGTGGCTCTAATTCTCTTATTGGTCACATGAAGGGGTGTGGCTTGCAGGAATTTTAACCTTATAAAGAAAACCCTAGAAGGAGCTAAATCTTTGGGGATTAGTTTCATATTCAGGTTATGTTGTAACCATTTACTTTTTCTTGTTTTACTAGGCTTTTTTCATTTCTTTGTCTGGGTTTTTAATTTCACTGATAGGTTTATAAACTTTGCTGCTATATGTGTGTGGGTAAGAGTTTCCTATTAAAAAGCAGGCAGGCTTTTTACATAACTTAAATATATAACTTAAATATATAACTTCATATAACTTAAATGGTTTTTCCAGCCATTTAATAAAAGGTTTTACTCAGAAAAAAACAGTAAATGTGAAGACAAAAAGCGATCTCCCTACATTTTCTACATTGTAAGCACAATTTCTTGTTTTGATTTTCTAAAAATTAATAAAGATGATGAAATGAGGTGTTAATTTAAAAATTAAAAATTTGAAAGATCATTTTTACTGGTGAGGGACTTCAAAAAATTCATTTTAAATATGCATGAACATTTTTCACAGTATTTGAGTGTATTTGGTCAGATTATTTTTACAAGGCTAAAAAACTTATAGTATCTTAACTGTTAAATATTGCAAATTTCTTTGCGAAAGTACACACATTTGGCAGGTTTAGAACTTTGAACAGACTTTCAGAAGATAATTGCACAGCATATTTTATAGTGATTTACTGTAATGATTATGAACATAATTTGGGAAATAAATTAGCTTTAGCGAATTTTACTTTAAATTTTTTATTTAGGGCACATACCTTAATAATTTAATTGTGAAAGCTATGCATTTGCCTTTAATTGAAATTTTAGCATGCTTTACTTTAAATGTGCTAAATCACTAATTTCTGTTCCTTTAGATGTGATACAGTTGAAGGTATGTAAAGCGGGGGATTGTTTTTCCAAAGACATAGCAGTTTTACTATACAGGGATTTTAATACTTAAATTTCGAATTTAAAAAATTCTTTTTTTTCTTTGAGATGGGGTCCTGCTCTGTCACCCAGGCTGAAGTGTAGTGGCACGATCTTGGCTCACTGTAACCTCTGCCTCCTGGGTTCAAGCAATTCCACTGTCTCAGCCTATCAAGTAGCTGGGATTACAGGGGTGCACCACCACACGCAGCTAATTTTTGTATTTTTAGTAAAGACAGGGTTTCACCATGTTGGCCAGGCTGGTTTCGAACTCCTGACCTTGTGATCTGCCTGCCTTGGTCTCCCAAAGTGCTGGGGTTACAGGTGTGAGCTACCATGCCTGGCCTAAAAGAAGATTTTAAAACATCATTGCATGTTTTCTCTGCAGTCTCTTATTTTCCCCCTAGAGTTATTTAAATAATAATTTAGGTGGCAAAATTACCTGCTCCTTCGCAAGGATAAAGTAAAATAAACATTTTATAGATGCGTTATATAAGTAGGAATAGATATTTAATTCTCTCTGATTTCTAATTTAATGTATTTACAATCACAGTTACATTGTTGAATAATCTTAAGTTGCTTAAATACACATATTCAGTTACTTAAGGTTAGCAATTTAAAAATCATTTTTAGATTATTTCTTTTCTAGAGCCTAAAAAAGATTTTTGGGGTGTTAGGGGACAGTAGGAATTATAGACTCTTTGAAAATCTAGCAAAAGCTTTGGACCCTTTCACTGGAAGAATGCTGGCAAACACGAACACACATTTGATATGCTGTTTCAGGGCAGTCACTGACACTGTGTGTGCTCAGGAGATCAGAGGCAACTATATTAAAAACAGCTACCATTAATACGAGGAATATATGAATATATATATATATATGGAGCAGAAGTAGGATACAATTGCTTTACTATTGAAGAATTAAAAAAAAGGATTTCATCAACTTTCAACAACAAAAAATTACACTTGAAAATATATTTCATGTACACTTGAAAAGTAATTCTCCACTTTTGTTTTGTTTTGTTTTTTTGAGATGGAGTCTTGCTCTGTTGCCCAAGGCTGGAGTGCCGTCGGGCGATCTCGGCTCACTGCAACCTCCGCCTCCCTGCAACCTCCGCCTCCCGGGTTGAAGCGATTCTCCTGCCTCAGCCTCCTGAGTAACTGGGACTACAGGCATGTGCCACCACACGCAGCTAATTTTTGTATTTTTAGTAGATATGGGGTTTCACCATGTTGGCCAAGCTGGTCTCAAACTCTTGGCCTCAAGTGATCTGCCTGTCTCGGCCTCCCAAAGTGCTGGGATTATTGACATAAGCCACTGTGCCTGGCCTGGACTTCCTCTTCTGAGAGCCCTGCTGACCTGTCCTGATGATGACTGTTCCTGCAGAAGTCTACGGGACCCCCAGTTACCTGGCCCCTGAGATCATCGAGAGCTGCATGAATGAGGACCATCCGGGCTACGGGAAGGAGGTGGACATGTGAGTGCGCCGGGGGAGGAGGATCACCTGCCTGGGCTGGGTGAGGGAGGAAGCAGGCAGGGCGGGGTCTGTGCCCCTGGCAATGGGTAAGTGGCCTTGGGCCCTCTCACGTCCAGTTGGAGCACTGGCGTCATCATGTACACGCTACTGGCTGGCTCCCCACCTTTCTGCCACCGGAAGCAGATGCTGGTGCTGAGGATGATCATAAGCAGCAACTACCAGTTTGGATCGCCCGAGTGGGACGATTACTTGGACACCGTGAAGGACCTGGTGAGAGGCGAGGCCGACTGGCTCCTGGGCTCAGGGCCGCGATGCCAGGCTCCCTTGCCCAAGGAGGCCCCACCTCTCCTGACATGCTGGAGGGGACCTGCCTTAACGTTCTCGGGTCCCCTCTCCTCCCCTCCCAGGTCTCCCGATTCCTGATGGTGCAACCCCAGACTGCTGCACAGCGGAAGAGGCCTTGGCACACCCCTTCTTCCAGCAGTACTGGTGGAGGAAGTGCGGCACTTCAGCCCACGCGGGAAGTTCAAAGTACAAAGTGTCCTGACCCAAGCCCTGTGGCAGTTGTCACCAGCTCCCCAAGTGCAAACCTCTAAGCCCTCTCCTCTCCCAGGGGTCCTTACACCCCGCGGGTTTCCAGGGTACCCACCCCTCCCCTCCCAGCCGCCCTGTGATGGCTTCAGGGATGGCAGGTGTCAGCCCACTGACTCCGACCCTGCGGATGCTGGCCAAGTGGGAAGTGGGGGACACTAGGAGGGCCCCGCAGAAGCCACCCAAGACTTCGTGGCAAACGAGCCCAGAGAGTCCCTTGCTGGAGGGGCAGGGCCTGGCAGGGGTTACTGCAGCCCAGCTACTCTGCCTGGCCCTGCAGGTGATCGCCCTGACCGTGCTGGCTTCAGTGCGGATCTACTACTAGTACCGCCAGGTGAAGCCGGTGACCTGGGAGATCGTCATCCGAGACCCACCGCTACTCCCTCCAGCTTCCGTGCCAGCTCATCGATGCCTATGCTTTCCGAATCTATGGCCACTGGGTGAAGAAGGGGCAGCAGCAGAACCGGGCGGCCCTTTTCAAGAACACACCCAAGGCCGTGCTCCTCTCCCTGGCCAAGGAGGGCTACTGAGGGGCTGGCCAGTCTGGGAGGGCTGGGGGGCAGGTGGGGAGGGGAAGCCACGGAAATATAAGTCAAAGGGGTGAGGTGTGCAGGCCTCTGCAGAAGGAGCGCTTGGCCCTGGCCAGGAACCCCTGGAGCTGAGGCCACGATCCCCTCTCAAAGGCTGTGCACAAGGGAAGTGGGTTTTCCCACCACACAGCAATACCTGCAGGCTGGGACAGGCCCTGGGTGGGCAGAGATCACATGTGGCCCGAGAACCAGGAACCCCCTGCTCCTGCACTTCCTGGATGAGCCACCATCTCCATTTCTCTTTAGGGGAGGCCCAGAGTTACTGACACTCAGGCCCTCTTCCCTTAGGGTCCCAGGGTGAGGATGAAAGACACAGAAATGTCTGAGATACACAATCGCAGGAGATTTTATTGACCTGATGACATCCAGTGACAGTGTGGGAGCAGGCTACTCTCCAGGGACATGTTTCTGGAGGCATATGGAGAAGGGGGCCGAGGTGAGGTGGCTCACACCTGTAATCTCAGCACTTTGGGAGGCTGAAGTGGGAGGATCACTGGAGACCAGGAGTTTGAGACCAGCCTGGGCAACATAGTGAGATCCCATCACTACAAAAATTCAAAAAATTAGCCAGGCATGGTGGTGCACACTTGTAGTCCAAGCTACTCGGGAGGCTGAGGTGGGAGAATTGCTTGAGCCCAGGAGCTCAAGGCTGCAGTGAGCCATGATCACCACTGCACTCTAGCCTGGGCAACAGAGCAAGACCCTGTCTCGAAAAAAAAAAGAAAAAAAAATGGAAGGGGAAGCTTCTGATATTTGTCTTTCTGGAGTACTATTTGCTTTGTGATTCCCACAATGCACTGCTTCACCCTAGTACATCAGTAGGTTCTCCTAGACCCTTTTAGGACTGAACTGTGCTTTAAATAGTTACATGCCTGCCTGTTACACAGTGGAAACTAGTTTTCTTCAGAGGGACCCAAAACGACAGATGAGGCCATGAAGAAAGCATTCTCCTTCCACAGCAACTGGCTGGGAAAACAAACACACAAGTGATCCTCCTGCCTCAACCTCCCTACTAGCTGGGACTACAAGCGTGTGCTACCATGAAGGGGTAATTTTTTAAAAAAATTTTAGTAGAGATGTGGTCTATGTTGCCCAGGATGGTCTTGAACTCCTAGGCTCAAGCGATCCTCCCACCTCAGCCTCCCAAATTGTTGGGATTACAGGCATGAGCCACTGCGTCCAGCCCTTCATCACATATCTAAAAACAATCATCAGAGGTAGATGTAACAGGTGTTATTATTATTTACTCCATTTAACAGATGAAAAACACTGAAGCAAATAGAAGTAAAAAATTAGGCTTTTAAAATGGATTTTCGGCTGGGCATGGTGGCTCACACCTGTAATCCCAATACTTCGGGAGGCCGAGGTGGATGGATCACCTGAGGTCAGGAGTTCAAGACCAGCCTGGCCAACATGGCAAAACCCTGTCTCTACTAAAAATACCAAAAAATTAGCAGGGCATGGTGGCACACACCTGTAATCCCAGCTACTCGGGAGGCTGAGGCAGGAGAATCTCTTGAACCTGGGAGGCAGAGGTTGCAGTGAGCTGAGATTGTGCCATTGCACTCCAGCCTGGGTGACAAGAGCAAAATTCCATCTCAAAAAAAAAAAAACCATAAATATATATAACCCTGATAAATATGTACACCTATTATGTAGCCACAAACATAAAATATCTAAAAAGAGAATGTCAAACTGCTTTCACTAATGCTGTGATTACATTTCTAACCTTATAAACATATCCATATTTTCAGGGCTACTTTTGCTAATCATCATAACAAATGAAGTGTTAGTGGGTTTTGAGAGGATGAAGGATCACTATACCTGACAATTCTCTTTCACTTATGATGCGTGTGATGAAATAGCTTTAGATTTTTAAAAATATTTATTAAGAGACAGGGCCTTGCTCTGTCACCCAGGGTGGTGTACACTAGTGCGGTCATGGCTCAAGGCAGACATGCAGTTAATTCCTGGGCTCAAGTGATCCTTCCACCTCAGCCTCCAGTTTTTTTTTTGTTTTGTAGAGACAGGATCCTGATATGTTGCCCAGGCTGGTCTCAAACTCCTGGCCTCAAGAGTTATCCCACCTTGGCCTCTCAAAGTGCTGGGATTACAGCTGTGTACCACTGTGCCTGGCCTATATGTTTTGAAAATCAAGTGTTATTTCCTCCTGGGCCGTCCAACTTGAAATATTATCTTATACAAGATGAGGATATCATTGGGGAGATCCAAATCCCAATGACAGGACCATGAGCAAGTCAACCTCCAGTAGATTCAATGAGGGAAAATGCTGACATTAGAGTTATATGCAATATTGGATATGAAAAGCATGTAGTAGATGGGCATGGTGACTCATGCCTGTAATCCCAATACTTTGGGAAGCCAAGGGAGGAGAATTTCTTAAGCCCAGGAGTTTGAGACCAGCCTGGGCAACATAGTGAGACCCATCACTCTTAAAAAAAATAGCTGGGCATGGTTTTACCTTCCTCTGGTCCCAGCTACTCAGGAGGCTGAGGTGGGAGAATCACTTAAGTCTGGGAGGTTGAGATAGCAGTGAGCCATGATCACACCACTGCACTCCTGACTGGGCAACAGAGCAGGACCCTGTCACGCACAAAAAAAGAAAAGCATGTGTTACAGCACTTGACTCTCAGTCTGTGCAACTGCAGCAGTGGAGAACCATGGCTGTCACTAAAGAAAGCAATGTACACATGAACTATGTAATGAGCAGTTAAAACTCATTTAATATAAAAACTGGAAGTCTGGGCATGGTGGCTCACACCTGTAATCTCAGCACTTTGGAAGGCCAAGGCAGGCAGAAGGCTTGAGGTCAGGAGTCCGAGACCAGCCTGGCCAACACAGTGAATCCCCATTTCTACTAAAAATACAAATATTAGCATGGTGGTGCATGAGTGTAGTCCCACCTACTTGGGAGGTAGAGGCATGAGAATTGCCTGAACCCAGGAGGCAGAGGTTGTAGTGAGCTGAGATGTCACTATACTGTTCTCTAGCCTGGGTGACAGAGTAAGACTCTATCTCCAAAAAAAATTTTGGAGATATTAACAGAACACAGTATTTTGGGGCACTGGAACCTCTCCCAGATAAATATAGTACTAAGGCTGGGCTAGGTGGCTCACTCTTGTAAGCCCAGCACTTTGGGAGGAAGAGGCAGTTGGATCTCTTGAGCCCAGGAGTTCAAGACCAGCGTGGGGCAACATGGTGAAACCCCATCTCTTTTTATAAATTTCTTTTTAAAGTAGAGAGAGATAGATAGATAGATAGATAGATAGATAGATAGATAGATAGATACATCTAAGTATTAAACAAGTTTGCTGCTAGCGTCAGGATAGGCTAGCTCCATGGTAATTGCATCATAATATAGCCTTACACTTATTAAGTTAAAGAGAATAAGAAACTTGCTCTTCTAGTGATAATGAAATTGATACTTTGGGAGAAATCCCCTGCTGAAGATAACTAGAAAAGGTGGACAAAATACGAAGTCATCTGCTTGAAGGAATAGGGGAGTGAACCATTACTATGATAGTGAAGAATTACCAGACCAGGATTCAGAGGGAAATAAGGTCCAGGGAGGCTAAAAACTCTTTTTTTCTGAGACAGGGTATTTTGCCCAGGTTAGTGTGCAGTGGTGCAATCATAGCTCACTGCAGCCTCCATCTCCCCAGCTGAAGCAATCCTCTTACCTCAGCATCCCTAGTATCTGGGACTACAGGCACTCACCACCATACCCAGCTAATTTTTGTATTTTTTGTAAAGACGGGGCTCTCACTTTGTTACCCAGGCTTGTCTCAAACACCAGGGCTCAAGAGATCCTCCTGTCTCAGCCTCCCAAAGTGCTGGGATTACACCTGTAATTGGGTGTGAGCCCCCACACCTGACCAACATTTTTTTTTTTTTGAGACAGGGTCTCACTAAAAATATTTTAAGTAAAAATTTTAAAATGGAGAGAGAGTTAAACACAGGCCAGGCGCAGTGGCTTACGCCTGTAATCACAGCACTTTGGGAAGCCGAGGTGGGCGGATCACAAGGTCAGGAGATCAAGACCATCCTGGCTAACATGGTGAAACCCTGTCTCTACTAAAAATACAAAAAAAAAAAATTAGCTGGGCGTGATGGCAGATGCCTGTAGTCCCAGCTACTCTGGAGGGTGAGGCAGGAGAGTGGTGTGAACCCGAGAGGCGGAGCTTGCATTGAGCCAAGATCGCACCACTGCACTCCAGCCTGGGCAACAGAGCAAGACTCCGTCTCAAAAAAAAAAAAAAAAGAGTTAAACACAGTTAAAAGAACACCTTAATATTAAAATATAGCAGCAGTAGAATTGACAAACTCAAAGAGTTTAAGTATTTAAATCATGTTAACATTTTTGTATTTTTTGTGAAATGAACCTAGAAGATGCTAACATCTTTCCTGATTTCACAAGTCTAAAAGATGACAGCAATAACTTCAGCATGACTTATTCCTCAACCAGTCCACCTCTGAATCTCACTCCTCTCCATCCTCTGGGCCCTTCACATTTTCCTCATTGCCTTAGCTCAGAGATATAGACCATTCAGTCCAGGGATCCTAATCCCAGATGAACTATGTTCTTAAGCAAGTTACTTGGCCTCTCTAAGCCTCAGTGTATTACTTTACAAATTAAGGTAAAATGTATATTTCATAGGGTTGTTGTAAGAGTATATAGGACAATGAGCATGTGAGTTCTTAATGCTATACTGCTCACTTAATAAATACTGAACAATGCTGGGCATGGTGATGCATGCCTGTAATCCCTGCTTTGAGAGTCTGAAGCGGGCGGATAGCTTGAATTCAGGGTAACATGATAAAACCCCATCTCTATTTCTACATATAAAAAATAGAGAAAAGCTGGGCACGGTGGCTGATGTCTGTAATCTGAGCACTTTGGGAGGCCCAGACAGGTGGATCACTTGAGGTCAGGAGTTCAAGACCAGACTGACCAACATGGTGAAACCCCATCTCTACTAAAAATACAAAAATTAGCCAGGCTTAATGGTTCACACCTGTAATCCCAGCCACTCGGGAAGCTGAGGCCCAAGAATCTCTTGTACCCGGGAGGCGGAGGTTGCACCAAGCTGAGATTGCACCACTGCACTCCAGCCTGGACGATAGAGTGAGACTGTCTCAAAAAACAAAATAAAACCAATAAAATGTGTTTCTATTACCCAGTCTACATAATGAGAATCCGAATACTTACACCTCATGGGTTACTGTTAGCACTGAATACAGTAATGGAAAGTGTTTCATCACCATGTCTGGCCTCAAAAAATGTTAGTTTCCTTCCACTTTCCTTTCCTTTCCCAGCTTCTTGTGTGTGTTTCATGCAAAGAAGTTTAAATTTTGTTAAAATTGCATGTAACTAATTAGTAATGAAGTAATGCTCATTAGTAATGCACCTAATTAATAATAAAGGTTATTGGTTCTTTAAAAAGGAAGAAAAAAAGTAGAACATTGTTTTGATTTCCATGTTTTATTAGTTTGTTTTACCATCTCATAATGCAGTAGCAAGGTCTCTAGAAAATTGGGTTAGGTGAATAAGGAAAGCAACTTAATTTCTATGTTGCCCAGTAGATGAATCTCCCTGCAATTCTGTAATAACTCCTGTTCAAAGTACTCACTCCTCCAAGGATAGAAGAAACTAACAGACATCCACTTTTTTCTCTAAATCTAACCTATATCCACTCCATCCAAAATTCCATGGCTTGGATCAACTCTGGCCTTCCACTGTCTTGTCCTCTCACTTCCTCCTCCCTTGATCCTACTTTTACAGAAAACTCACCACAATAGGGTGTTGCATATGAAATACAATATGGAAATGAGCTGTATAGTGTAAGTGTCTAGAACATAGCAGAAACACCAAAACGCTCTTATTATACAAGCACAAGAAAATAACTGTGGCATAGTCATCTCGCTGGAAACCACAACTATAATTCTGCATCACATGGGAACAGGGAAACCAAATCATTCATAAAATATCTTAATCCTCCAGCAGGAAAAATGCTTTAGCAGATACTGAGAAATGGTAGGTATGGAATACTTGGGAAGACTTCATTACTTTCCTCTACATAGCATGAATAAAATGGCAAGATGGATAACAGGTGAAAGTATGAAATAAATACACAAATCTCTTCAAACATATATAATACCCACTACTTTTGAGCATCTATAGTATAGCAGGCACACTGCAAGACCCTTTATAGACATCATCTGTGCTCCTCATGGCATCCCTGCTTTGCAGTATGACTAGCTCAATGTTACAAGTAGGTGCACTCTCACACTGATTACCATATAGGAAATAACTAAATTCATAGCAAACTGTTTTTTCCTTAACAATAGAAAAAATATTAAATTGCATTCCTTCAAATCCATTAAAAGACTGGTGTGAGGCTAGGCACAGTGCCTCATGCCTGTAATACCAGCGCTTTGGAAAGCTGGAGGAAAGATCACTTGAGGCCAGGAGTTCAAGACCAGTCTGGGCAACATAGTGAGATCCCATCTCTACAAAAAATAAAAAATAAAAATTAGCCGGGCTGGGTGCAGTGGCACATGCCTGTAATCCCAGCACCTTGGGAAGCCAAGGCAAGCAGATCACCTGAAGTCAGGAGTTTGAAACCAGCCTGGCCAACATGGTGAAACTCTGTCTCTGCTAAAAATACAAAAATTAGCTGGGAGTGGTGTGGTATCTGACCTCTGTAATCCCAGCTACACAGGAGGCTGAGGCAGGAAAATTGATTAAACCTGGGAGGTACAGCTTGCAGTGAGCTGAGACTGCACCACTGCACTCCAGCCTGGGTGACAGAGCAAGACTCCTCAAAACACAGAAACAGGCCGGGCGCGGTGGCTCACGCCTGTAATCCCAGCACTTTGGGAGGCCGAGACGGGCGGATCACGAGGTCAGGAGATCGAGACCATCCTGGCTGACACGGTGAAACCCCGTCTCTACTAAAAATACAAAAATTAGCCGGGCATGGTGGCGCGCGCCTGTAGTCCCAGCTACTCGGGAGGCTGAGGCAGGAGAATGGCGTGAACCCGGGAGGCGGAGCTTGCAGTGAGTCGAGATCGCGCCACTGCGCTTCAGCCTGGGCGACAGAGCGAAACTCCGTCTCAAAAAAAAAAAAAAAAAAAAAAAAAAACAAAAACATTAGCCAGGCATAGTAGCACACACGTGTAGTCCTAGCTACTTAAGAGGCTGAGGCGGAAGGATCCTTGAGCCCAGAGGTTCAAGGTTACAGTGAGCTATGATCATGCCACTGCAGCCTAGCCTAGGGACAGACCAACTCTATCTCAAAAAAAATTTTTTTGAATGGTGTTATTCTTTGACTTGTTTTCATTTCGGGGAGTGGACATACAATTTACTTTCTCTGAAATCTAATAAAAGCTATGGGTAATCTTGCCAGAAAAAATGCATATAAACACAATATGCTGCATATAATTCTGAGGGGGTGAAATCACAGACCATAGAAGCCTATTCACCGTAAGAACCTCTGATGTAGAAGTAGCAGTTTTATGATTTCTAAATCATATGAAAGAATGATGTTGGGATCATTAAAACTAGGATCAAATTAGTCCTAGAAATTCTTGGCTGGGCACGGTGGCTCATACCTGTAATCCCAGCATGTTGGGAAGCTGAGGCAGGCAGAGCACCTGACATCAGGAGTTTAAGATCAGCCTGGTAAACATGGTAAAACCCCGTCTCTATTAAAAACACAAAAAATTAGCCTGGTGTGGTGGCAGGTGCCTGTAGTCCCAGCTACTCAGGAGGATGAGGCAGGAGAATCGCTTGAACCCAGGAGGCAGAGGCTGCAGTGAGCCGAGATGGAATCACTGCACTCCAGCCTGGGCAGCAATCTGAAACGCTATCTCAAAATAAATAAATAAATAAATAAATAAATAAATAAATAAATAATTCTAATTTTGCATGGTAGCTAAAATTACACCAAATACCTAATCTGATGTTGTTAAATTCAGTTATTAGTTAGGAGATTTGCTGAAATGCTGGCTCAGTCATCATCTTTGAGGGTTTTAAGATGTGTTCACCAAAAGTAATGTAATAAACTACAGTTTCTGATTTGGGGAGAAGAAAATAGAACTGACTTTCCAAAAAATATCTGGACCATAAACTTCAGGTTCCCAAAAGTGGTAAAGATTAAGAAATAATTAAGCATTAACTCATCAACAAAATACTAAGTATTTTGGTTGTTAACACTTTCAACTTGATCCCAGTGCAAGAAAACAATCTGAAATGGGAACAGAGATTTATTTTATTTTTAAATATTTCACTTCTATATATGGATTTTTTTTTTTGCTGTTTTGACAGAGTCTCACTCTGTCGCCCAGGCTGGAGTGCAGTGGTGCTATCTCAGCACACTGCAAGCTCCACCTCCCGAGTTCATGCCATTCTCCTGCCTCAGCCTCCCAAGTAGCTGGGACTACAGGCACCCACCACCACTCCTGGCTAATTTTTGTGTGTGTGTGTTTTTAGTAGAGATGGGGTTTCACTGTGTTAGCCAGGATGGTCTCGATCTCCTGAACTCGTGATCAGCCCGCCTCGGCCTCCCAAAGTGCTGGGATTACAGGCGTGAGCCACCATACCTGGCCTACTATATGGAAAATTTTTAAGAAACTGAAGCATTCAGCAATAAAAAATTAATTGGTAAGTTATGTTGATTTACCTAAAAGAATATTATGTAGGCATTTAAAAAAACTTTATAAATTTCTAATTGTAAGAGAAGATAGTAATGATATACTAAGTGAAAAAAAGAATTTTTTTTTTTTGAGATGGAGTCTTGCTCTGTCACCCAGGCTGGATTGCAGTGGGGTGATCTCGGCTCACTGCAACCTCCACCTCCCAGGTTCACTCCTGCCTCAGCCTCCTGAGTAGCCGGGACTACAGGCGTGTGCTACCAAGCCCGGCTAATTTTTTTTTTTTTAAGTAGAGACGGGGTTTCACCGTGTTGGTCAGGCTGCTCTTGAACTCCTGACCTCAGATGATTCACCTGCCTCGGCCTCCCAAAGTGCTGGGATTATAGGCGTGAGACACCGTGTCCAGCCTCTTTTTTGTTTTATTTTGTTTTATTTTTTAAACAGAGATGGGGTTTTGTTGTGTCGACTAGGCTGGTCTCGAACTCTTGACCTCAAGGAATTCTCCCATCTCGGCCTCCCAAAGTACTGGGTTAACACATGTTAGCTACTATGCCAGCCCTCAACTGTTTTTTTTTTAAATGGAGAAAAATTACTGGCAAGGCTGCAGTGAGCCATGATCACACCACTGCAGTTTAGGAGTGTGAGACCATCCTAGGTAACAGGGTGAAACCCCACCTCTACAAAAAATACAATTTTTTTTTTTTTTTGAGATGGAGTCTCACTCTGTCACCCAGGCTGGAGTGCAGTGGCGTGATCTTGGCTCACTGCAACCTCCTCCTCCCGGGTTCAAATGATTCTCATGACTCAGCCTCCTGAGTAGCTGGGACTACAGGCACGCACCACCACACCCAACTAATTTTTTGTATTTTTTATAGAGACGGGGTTTCACCATGTTGGCCAGGATGGTCTCGATCTCTTGATCTTGTGATCCACCTGCCTGGGCCTCCCAAAGTGCTGGGATTACAGGCATGAGCCACTGTGTCCAGCCAAGCATCTCACTTTTTTTTTTTTTTTTATGTGATGGAGTTTCCCTCTGTTGCACAGGCTAGAGTGCAGTAGCGCAATGTTGGATCACTGCAACCTCTTCCTCCCAGGTTCTCCTGCTTCCGCCTCCCAAGCTGGGACTACAGGCACATGCCACCATGCCCAGCTAATTTTTGTAATTTTAGTAGAGACAGTGTTTCACCATGTGAGCCTGGATGGTCTCGATCTTTTGACCTCGTGATCTGCCCGCCTTGGCCTCCCAAAGTGCTGAGATTACAGGCATGAGCCACAACGCCCGGCCCCATAGTATCTCACTTCCTGTTGCAGGAGAACATCAGGGCCTTCTTTAAAAACAGTTACTTGGTATTAATGGTGCATAATTAAATCAGAAAAATGCAAAAATTTCTCTTTTGTTGCGCTCATAGCAGACATGAAAAGCTGATGATAGTTAGCCAATGCCTTCTGGATATGTCTTGAGCACTGAGTCTCATTGTCAAGGTAATGCCCTGAATTGTTTAGATTAGTCTGATTCATTTGCTAGTTGTGTCTTATTTCAGTATGATAATAATGCAAAAAAATGAGATGCTTTCTCCTATCCTTCCTGGTAACACTTGTGCCATTATCCATCATAGTCCCACAATGACTGGCTACCAGAAAAGGACTTTTGCAGCTTTGATACAGTCAATTCTTGAAATACCACTCTGGAATAAAAAACCAAAAGGTTGACCAACAAAAAGAGATCTGAAGTTAAGCTCTTTAGCAAAATAAACGTATACAATAATAGGGTGCTCAATATTACATTATAGTGTAACTTGAATTATGCTGACACTAGATGAAGATGTTGGCCAGTTTTACAGATTTTTCTTCCTAGAAAAGATAATACATACAAAATGGCAGGGTAAGATTTGAACTATTGTGACAAGATTCCAGAAATTAACACCCATGGGTCAGAATCAGTCAACATGGTTTTATATTGACATACTTGGAGTTAATACACAAATATCTAATAAATGACAAAGGCTTTTTTCCCCCAAGTCCAGTTCTGTGGTGTCATATGCTACTGAAGTCTCAGTAGTGATATAAAGAGATTCCTTAAAGGTATATTTAAGTACATGTAACATCTGCCCTCAATTGAAAGAGTTGGTAGCAAAAACTTTGCTCTCAACTGAAAGAGTTGGTTAGCATATGGTATGTAACATATGCCAAAATGAGATACGGCTGCTTGAAAACTGAGAAAAGCAGTGGCCAAGAGAGGCTAGCCCCCCCCCCCACTACCACCAAAAGGGATAAAATAAAATGCATGTGTCAAGCAATTCTGAAATGATAGCTCTGGAACTAGACTATTCTTACATGGAAAGACCCACATGTAAAATAGTGGATAGTCAGTGGTTCAATTTGTATCATATTAACATTACCTAACATTTTAGCTTCTGAAACACAGCCCATGGAGGTATTACAATTTTTTTCAAGTGGAATTTGCATTAGTTAAGAGGCTAGTGTGGTAATTAACATGGCATATTAGATGACTTAACAGTGCCATCAAAGGCCTGGCACGGTGGCTTATGCATGAAATCCCAGCACTTTGGGAGGCCGAGGCGGGCAGATTATGAGATCAGGAGATTGATACTAAAAATACAAAATTAGCCGGGTGTGGTGGTGCATGCCTGTAATCTCAGCTGCTCGGGAGACTGAGGCAGGAGAATTGCTTGAACCGAGGAGGCAGAGGTTGCAGTGACTGAGATCGTACCATTGCATTCCAGCCTGGACAATAAGAGTGAAACTCTGTCTCAAAAAAAAAAACAGTGTCATCTAATATGCTGCTATTTAAACTAACCAAGCACATAATAGCCCTTTAATATTTTAGAAAAAATACATTAACCAGAGTAAATATGAGAGATTATTTCAGTTTGACTAGATAAACTTGCAAACTAATTGTCCAGTCATTCAATGAAAGTTAATGAAATGCATGATACTGCACCAAAATCACTTGGCTAGAGATATATAAAGACCCAATCTTCAGAGACATAGTCTAGAAACAACTTTAGATTGCTTTCATATTTTATTTATTTATTTTTTTGAGACAAGGTCTCACTCTGTCGTCCAAGCTGTAGTGAGATCTTAGCTCACTTCAGACTCCACCTCCTGAGCTCAAGCTATCCTCCTGCGTCAACCTCCCAAGAAGCTGGGACTATAGGCACATGCCACCATGTGTAGCTAACTTTTTTGGTATATTTTTGGAGAAATGGGGTTTCACCATGTTGCCTGGGCTGGTCTCCAATGCCAGGGCTTAAGCGATCTGCCTGCCTTGGCCTTCCAAAGTGGTGGGATTACAGGCGGGCACTACTGCCCATGGCCAATGTTCTTTTCTTTGTCTTTCACACATACTAAAAATTACTTGTGAAAGTGTAGCCTAGCCAAAGCACCTACTCTCTAATGTCTGTGAATAGCTCTACAATCCCCCTTCCTTTTTTATAACAATCTTTCACTGTTCAATAAATAGGGTAGTGCATATGTCTCAAAATGCTAAATTACAAACATCCAGGAGGAAAACCCTAACTGAAAGCAAATTCCTAGATGACTGAGAGTGATAAAGCTAGCAGTTTTAATTATCTGTAATTCTGAATATCAAGAAGAGTAAGCTGAACTAGGCTTGACAGATGACAAATTAAGTTTTTTCCCTTGACCAAAAGATACCTCTCAGAAGATTATGTAACACACTGTCCTACAATTAAAAAATGAGAGACTAAAATGTAATCTAGGACTTATTAAAGTCTAAAGTTGTTTCAGTTATCCGAGGAGTTACCAGTCAACATTCTGAGAAATGGTACATGGCTTTAGGGGCTAAACATATTTTATTTTTTACAGGCAACCCTCAAAAGAGAATAAATTCAGAGAGACTCTGAAAATTTATATGAATTTTTTGAAACAGAGTCTCACTGTCACCAAGGCTGGAGTACGGTGGCATGATCACTGCTGACTGCAGTCTCAACCTCCCAGGCTCAAGCAATCCTCCACCTCTGCCTCCTGAGTAGTTGGGATCACAAATGTGGGCCACCAGGCCAGGCTCATTTTTTTTTAAATTTTTTTTGTAGAGATGGGGTCTCATTACATTGCCCAAGCTGGATGTATATATATTTTTTTGAGATTGAGTCTCACTCCATTATCCAGGCTGCAGTGCAGTGGCGTGATCTCGGCTCACTGCAACCTCCGCCTCCTGGGTTCAAGCAATTCTCCTGTCTCAGCCTCCTGAGTAGCTGAGACTACAGGTGCACGCCACCACGCACAGCCAATTTCTGAATTTTTAGTAGACAGGGTTTCACCATCTTGTCCAGGCTGGTCTTGACCTCTTGACTTCAAGTGATCTACTGGCCTCGGCCCCCCAAAGTGCTGGGATTGCAGGCATGAGTCACCTAACCTTTTTTTATATTTTTAGTAGAGACGGGGTTTCACCATGTTAGCCAGGCTGGTCTCAAACCCCTGATTTCAAGTGATCCACCCACCTTGGCCTCCCAAAGTACTAGGATTACAGGCATGAGCCACGATGCCCAGCCCCATTTACAGTTTTGAAATAAAATTTGGTAGGTTTTGTGAAGAAGCAAATACACAATTTTAAAAACAGAATTGTGAGATTTTTTTTTTCTTTAGAAATATCCAGGCCAGGCGTGGTTGCTCCCGCCTGTAATCCCAGTACTTTGGGAGGCCAAGGTGGGTGGATCATTTGAGGTCAGGAGTTTGAGACCAGCTGGCTAACATGGCGAAACCCCGTCTCTACTAAAAATACGAAAATTAGCCAGGCATGGTGGCGTGTGCCTGTAATTCTAGCTACTAAGGAGGCTGAGGCAGGAGAATCGCTTGGACCCGGGAGGCAGAGACTGCAGTGAGCTGAGATCACGCCATTGCACTCCAGCCCGGGTGACAAGAGCGAAACTCCATCTCAAAAAATAAATGAATAAATAAACTGTGAATGGGCTGGGTGTGGTGGCACCTGCCTGTAATCCCAACTACTTGGGAGGCTGAGGCAGGAGAATCTCTTGAACCAGGGAGGCGGAGATTACAGTGAGCCAAGATCGTGCCATTACACTCCAGCCTAGGTGACGAGTGAAATTCTGTCTCAAACAAAACATAACAAAATGAACAAAACAACTGTAAATGTTATTTTATCTTTCTTATCCCAACTCTCACTAACAAGCAAAAGAGACCAGGTGCAGTGGCTCATGCCTGTAATCTCAGCATTTTGAGAGGCAGGCAGATCAGTTGAGGTCAGGAGTTTGAGACCAGCCTGGCCAACATGATGAATCCTGGTCTCTACTAAAAATACAAAATTAGCCAGGCGTGGTGGCATGAGCTGTAATCCCAGTGGTGCCTGTAATCCCAGTTACTCAGGAGGCTGAGGCAGGGGAATCGCTTTAACCTGGAAGGCAGAGGTTGCAGTGAGCCAAGATCATGCCACAGCACTGCAGCCTGGCTGATAGAGTGAGACTCCATCTCAAATAAATAAATAAATAAATAGATAATAAGGCAAAATAATTCTGATGTGAAAAAAATAAATTAGGTAAAATGTATTTGCTTGCCAGTATTCTGAGGTATCATAGTAGGTGGCTTTTAACCATTGACAATAGCACCAAAAATTATTGAATACCTATGAATAAAACTAATGAGATAACTATCCCGAAAGCTACAGAACATTATTGAAAGGGATTCCAGAAGTCTTACATAATAAGTATATACTATGGTCAAAGACTGGAAGATCAATACTGAAAAAAAAAATCAGTCTTGCCAACGTAATCTGTAGATTCAACACATCACAAGAAAAATTCTAGCACTATTTTTTGTTGGAAATTTACAAGCCAATTAAAATTTTTTTTTGTGAAAAATGCAAATACCTAAACAGGAATTCAATATTGCAGAAGAAAGTTAAAGGGCTTATACCGCCAGTTAGGAAGACTTGTTATAAAACTACAAGAATTGAGACAGTTTATAAACACGGATAGACAAAATGTCAATGAACAGAGTCTAGAAACAGACCCAAAACTTACCAATCACCTGATAAATGACAAAGTTGACATTGTATTAGTGAGGAAAGTATCATTTCAGTAATGGTGCCAGTCAATTAGAAATCCCTATGAAAAAGAGTCAATCTTGGCTGGGTGTGGTGGCTTACGCCTGTAATCCCAGCACTTTGGGAGGCTGAGGTGGGCGGATCATGAGGTCAGGAGTTCGAGACCAGCCTGACCAATGTGGTGAAACCCCGTCTCTATTAAAAATACAAAAATTCGCAGGGCTTGGTGGCACATGCCTGTAATTCCAGCTACTTGGGAGGCTAAGGCAGGAGAATAGCTTGAACCTGGGAGGTGGAGATTGCAGTGAGTTGACATCAAGCCACTGCACTCCAGTCTGGGTGACAGAGCGAGACTCCATCTCAAAAAAAGAAAAGAAAAAAAAGTCAGTCTTGACTCCTACCTCACATCATACACAAATGTCAATTTCATATGTATACAAGAAAGAATTAAAGTCAGGCGTTGTGGCTCACGTCTGTAATCCCAGCACTTTGGGAGGCCAAGGTGGGAGAATTGCTTGAGCCCAGGAGTTTGAGACCAGCCTGGCCATCATGACAAAACACCATCTCTACAAAATATTTTTCTTTTCTTCTTTTTATTTTTGAGACAGAATTTCGCTCTTGTTGCCCAGGCCGGAGTGCAATGGTGTGATCTCAGCTCACTGCAACCTCCCACTCCTGGGTTCAAACGATTCTCCTGCCTCAGACTCTGGAGTAGCTGGGATTACAGGCATGCACCACCACGCCTGGCTAATTTTGTATTTTTAGTAGAGACGGGGTTTCTCCATGTTGGTCAGGCTGCTCTCAAACTCCCAACCGCAGGTTTTCTGCCCACCTTGGCCTCCCAAAGTGCTGGGATTACAGACATGAGCCACCACGCCTGGACTTTTTTTTTTTTTTTTCTTGAAAGAGCATCTCGCTCTGTCACCCAGACTAGAGTGCAGTGGCACGATCTCAGCTCACTATAACCTCCACCTCCCATGTTCAAGTGTTTCTCCTACCTCAGCCTCTGGAGTAGCTGGGATTACAGGTGTGCACCACCACACCCAGCTAATTTTTTTTTTTTTTTGTATTTTTGGTAGAGACAGTTTTCACCATGTTGGCCAGGCTGGTCTCAAACTCCTGACCTCAAGTGATCTGCCTGCCTCGGCCTCCCAAAGTGCTGGGATTACAGGTGTGAGCCACCACACCCGGCCTTCTACAAAAGATTTTTAGATTGGCCAGGCACGCCTGTTGTACCAGCTACTGGGAGGCTGAGGTGGGCAGATGACTTGAGCCCTGGAGGTCAGGGCTACAATGAGCCATGACCATGCCACCTCACTCCAGCCTGGTTGACAGAGCAAGACTCTGCCTCAAAAAAAAAAAAAAAAAAGAAAAAAAAAACCATTGAATATAATAAAAATGCATCAGTTCATACTAAAACATAAAATTTAATAATAAAATAGGCCAGGTGAAAGAGAGAGACTTGGCCGGACACAGTGGCTCATGCCTGTAATCCCAGCACTTTGGGAGGCCGAGGCCAGCAGATCATCTGAGGTCAGGAGTTCGAGACCAGCCTGACCAACATGGAGAAACCTCATCTCTACTAAAAATACAAAATTAGCTGGACATGGTGGCAGGTGCCTGTAATCCCAGCTACTCAGGAGGCTGAAACAGGAGAATCACTTGAACCAGGAAGGCAGAGGTTCCAGTGAGCTGAGATGGTGCCGTTTTACTCCAGCCTGGGAAACAAGAGTAAAACTCCACCTCAAAAAGAAAGAAAGAAAGAGCAAGACTCCCTCTCAAAAAAAAAAAAAAAAAAAAAAAAGAGAGAGAGAGAGAAAGGAAGAAGGGCATGAACTGGGTCTGGAAAGTGAGGCAAGAACTGAGTTTTGCAAAAATCTTAAGAGTCCTGTATTTCATGCTAGTGAATCTAGGCTTCATCTAATGATTGGAAGGCCCTGAAAGTTTTGCTCTATTTCTTTTGTTTTATTTTGAGTGAAATATATCACATAAACAGAACACTAAATGTAGTTAGATAGGAGAATCATGTTTTTCAGAAGGAAAACTTGAACTACCCTAAGGAGAGCTTGTTATTCAACTTCCTGATTTCCCTGGTGGCTAGAATGCTCATGATTATATTTGCAGTGCATAGCCTAGGAGAAGTGCAATAAATACCTGTTGATAATAAAGATAGCACTGAAATTATCCTGATAAGAAATAAAGGCCTCACTATAGCAGTGGCCAAGAAAATGGAGAGATAGTAGCACTCAGATCTTGTAGAACAAGAGAATTTAGATGAATGATCGAAGGAAGTGAGGATACTGAATATTCTATTTTGGGTGATCATGTGTTATGTCACTGAGCCAAACATGTAATGTAAGAGAAAGAGCATGTTGGGGAAAAAATAGAACAAGTGTGTTCATACCCATTAGAGATACAGTGCTTTTTACAATGATGTCATTTGGCAATGCTACAAACCAGTAGCTTACAAGGGAGGTCTCTCTGCTAGAGATGTTGCTAAATGTTACTTTGTAAACCCTCAGTAACTGGCCACATTTTACCTATTCATGAAGTAACTTAGTTGAGTAAAAGAAGATTATACATTTCAGTAAGGTTATTATTATTATTATTTGAGACAGTCTCCCTCTACTCGGGACGCTGAGGCAGGAGAATCGTTTGAACCCGGGAGGTGGAGGTTGCAGTGAGCCGAGATCGCACCACTGCACTCCAGCCTGGGTGACAGAGCGAGACTCTGTCTCTATCTCAGATCTCTGTCTCTGACTCCAAGATTTCTATCCCTGCCCTGCTGGCTGTCAGAACTTGGACATGTTGGATCAGCCACAGAGCCATCAGTTTCTTTTCTTTCTTTCTTTTCTTTCTCTCTTTCTTTCTTTCTTTCTTTCTTTCTTTCTTTCTTTCTTTCTTTCTTCTTTCTTTCTTTCTTTCTTTCATTAATGCAGACAATGGGCTTTTACTCTGTTTATTTCAAGAGTTTCTTGTAACAATCCAAGGAGATAATAGGGTTAAATATGCTTGGTAAATTGTGAAATGCTGTACAGATGTGAGGGTTCAGTCTCATGTATGACTTTTCAGTTCTGCCTTTCAGAGTCTGCTAGATCATTTGGATTTGAGAACCAAATATTATTTTAGTTCCCTACAAATAAAGCCTCGATGTGCATCTAAACTCTGCTGGGTAGTATTATGTTTTAGATTTAAGAACAGCTGGGGAAAAATGAGACAGCCATTCATGGCCTTTCCAGGTCAGATTCATAGATACCCACATGGAGTCTATTAATTGTATGGACATCTGTGAAAGGAATGAACTCACTACAAGAAAAATTGATTCCCTCTACCTTGAGAAATAACTATAATATTTTAAACCATGCAAAGGAGAGATCTAATTTATATATGTTTCCTGAAAACACTGGCACTATGTATATTTTAAACACAACCAAAATCTGGCAAGAGGTTGTAGGAGAAACAATTTTACAATAACAGAAAGTAGTTTTTGAAAAGCCCTTTGTACTTTGAATGTTTTTTGATTCTCAAACTGTCTGGGCTGAATGAACAGATGAAACCTGATATTTGACATTTGCAGTCAATTTTCTATTCAGTAACCTCACTCTATCCCCAACTCTTTTTCTATTGCTAAGGAAATGAGATTTCTTGGTGCTTTACTTAAAGCTGAGTCTAAAGGATATTCACTAAACCAGAAAAAAAATCAGTTAAATATTTTTTTTTTCTGTGTCGGGTCAATGAAATAATTCAGTGACATCTAACTGAACATACATTTATTAAGTGACCACTCTATCCTGGGTAATGTGGCAGATGCTAGAAAAACAAACAACTGAAGTCATGAACTTGTTCTTAAGAAAATGATAGTTTGGTAAGTAATTATAATTTAATGTTATCAGTGCAATAATAGAATGTCCTACAGAGGTAAAAATAAAAAAATTGATTTTCTGGGTTAGATAAGGAAGAATCTCTGGAGGAATAAGTCTCAGGTGTATTTAATTTATTTGTTTTTTTAAAATTTTTATATATTTAGGGGGTACAGGTGCAGGTTTCTTCCATGCAAATATCATGTAGTGGTGAAGTCTGGTCTTTTAGTGTGCCTGTCATCTAAATATTGTAGGAGATACCCAATAGGTAATTTTTCAACACTCACCCTCCTCCCAGCCTCCCACCTCCATTGTTCAGCTCTCATTTATAAGTGAGAATATGTTGCATTTGACTTTCCATTTCTGACTTATTTCACTTAAGACATTGGCCCCCGATTTCATCCATGTTGCTGAAAAAGACAAATTTTCATTCTTTTTTATGGCTCAGTAGTATTCCATGGTAGATATATGCCACATCTTTATTCAGTCCTCCCTTGATGGACATGTAGGTTGATTCATATCTTTGCTATTTTGAATAGTGCCATGATAAACATACAGGTGAAGGTCTTTTTGATACAGTGATTTCTTTCTCACATCTATTTTAAAGGATCCTACAGGGTATGGCAGTTTTAAAAAGTCAGGAAAGGCAGATATACAAGGCCAAAGGAATGGGTTGTACAAAGACATTGTAGCGTTGCCTGGAAAAGTATGTTCAAGAGCTACAAGGTATTTGTATTGCTGGCAAAAATACAAGGCAGAGAAGAGTGGTAGCTGAGACTAAAAAGGCAGTCAGGAGCTAAATCTTGGAGGCACTCCATCATTTTCCATTAGCATGGCATCCCTGTACCCTACTTAACTTGGACTTTATCCCACAGATCTGCAGCATCCAATATGGACCACCTTAGCCACATATGGTTATTTACATTTAAATTAATTAAAAATTTTAAACATTCAATTTCTAATTCTAGCCAACCAGTCTTGACATCCTCAATAGCCACATGTGGCTGGTGGCTACCATACTGAATAACTCTGATACAGAACATTCCCATCATCATTGTCTATTGTCAGCACTACCATGGATGTTTGGGAGTCTTGGAATTGACATAAGTGGGAAAATGCTTTGTGACTATTTGTACTTTAGAAAAATAGCTTTGGCAGGAGGATAATTGGGGGAAAAATAAGGAAAAATAGCATGCAAAACTACACAAGATTTCACAAAACTACAAGAGCAGTGAGGTTGGGATAGAAGAGGCAGATATGAGAGAGGTAGAGGTGGAGGAAGCCAAGCTTTATCACTGTGTTAACCAGTTAGTTGTATGACTAAGCTGATTGAGGGTGCCAATACAGAAGGTCATTGAATAAATAAACATGGATGTGTGTAAAGAAAGGTTCAGCTATTTTGTTTGTATGTGGGAAGTGGAGTAGGGAACTTCTGGAAATAATGCAATGGCAAGAATTAACCAAACAGTTTCTATGACTCCATGGAGACCATAAAGTTGGCAGCCTGAAATTTTCATTTTCACGCAATATTTTTGACATTTCTGAAGCCACAGGCATATTCACATCAAAGCATTAAATCATTTGTATAAATCTTTGGGACATAGAGAGGCAGGTTTAGAAAATGAAGTTCTCACAAAAATCTTACCAGGATATACCATTCAGCTTTTCCAATCTTCTAATCCCTTAGTAATCTCTTTGCCCATGGTAATAAGTCTGATGTCATCTGACTGTGTCTTCTGACTGAATAGATAAGCTAAAGCCCAATTGATGAGTGGCCTAATTAGTCAAGGGTATATTTGAGGTTTTTGTCCATTGCATCATTTGTTCAAAAACGGAAGCCACATCATTTTGTTGTAAATTATAATCAGAAGAAGGAGGACATGGCTAAGAGCCTAAATAACTAAAATTGGAGATGGGGGTATATTTTGCTCCTTGGAAAAATTGTAAAGTTGGGACATTACTTCTCCTAAGGAATGACTCTCTCTCCTGTTTCCTCTCAACATTTCTCTTCTCTTGACTATTTCTTCCCATATACCCATAATATAAATCTCCTAAATCTAATAATAATAATGATCATAGCTAGAATTGATTGATCATAGAATTTCCTGTGACCCCAAGAAAGATTTTTCCTTTTCTTCCTTCAGGATCAAATACATTCACTATGACAAGATCAACCTGGGAAAATGGTAAGGCATGAACTAAATGTGGATCCAGAATGAGGCTCAGTGTTTTGTCAGGGACATATGGAGTCAGCAAGGAAGCTGGAAGCATCCAGGGTCAACAGGACCAGGTGAGGGAAATGCCACCGCTCTCAGTGACTCCAGTCCTCAGGGCGATCAAATGATCACTCAAGACGATTATTCTAAGGGAGGAGAACTATCTTCCAGGGAGGGATTATAAATATCTACTAAAATACATGACAAACTTGCAAAGTCACTAAACATTAACGATATGCTGTACCTTTTAAAGTAGCTAAGATGCTTGGGTGTTTTTTTTTTTTCTTTTTTTTTTTGAGAAAATATATGTTTGATAGGAGTGTGCTGAAGTGGGCAGTCATGTACATTGCTGCTGGGTGAGGAAATATGAATAATCTGCTGAGACAGCAATTTGGCAATGTTCATAAAAGGTTCAATGTGATTTCCTTCCACCTTTAAATTCTACCTCAAGAAATAGATCCCTAGCCTGGCCAAGATGGTGAAATCCCATCTCTACTAAAAACACAAAAATTAGCTGGGCACGGTGGCAGGTGCCTGTAATCCCAGCTACTCGGGAGGCTGAGGCAGGAGAATTGCTTGAACCTGAGAAGTGGAGATTGCAGTGTGCTGAGATCGTGCCACTGCACTCCAGCCTGGGCAACAGAGGAAACTCTGTCTCAAAAAAAAGGAAGACATCGATTCTAAAGATATAATAGAAATATCACTGGTCTTTGTAGTTGAACTTCTTAGATCTAAATACCATTTCCACCCTTATTAAATATGTGATTTCCAGCAATTTCCTCTCTGTGTCTCGGTTTTCTCACCTGTACAATGGAGAGGTGATAATACCTATCTCATGGAGTTAAAATGAATATTTATATATATAGTGCTTGGAACAGAGTCTAGAACATAGTGGGATTATCATTGTTATTAATATTAATATTAACATTGAGATTGATGGAGAATGATAGGAGTTTCAATCAAAGTTGGGTACATATCAGCTGTGTGACATTTAACAGGCTATCAATTCTTGTTGAAATTCAATTTTTTATTTATAAAATGAGTATAATAATGTGTATTTTGTGCTTCTTGTGAAGATTAAGGATTACATACAATACATACATATAAAATATACATAGTATACATATATTATTTAATATATAATTGGGAATTTTCAAATATATAATTGGGCATTACATATGGCTTACTATATATAATTTAATATAATAATTAAAATAATATAACATAAAAATAATATAATATAAGCCATATATATTATACATATATAGTGTCTATATGTTTACCTACAAATAACATACATATTATAAACAAAATATATAACATATACATGCATAGTATAAGCAACATACATAAATTATAAATGGACATAGCATAAGCTAAATGAACAATATCTGTTATTAAATTTAAAATCAGAAGAATTCATTATAAACCTGAGACGCTCACACAGAGAGAACATTTGGGGGTCACTAGTCTGTTGCAACATCTCATTTGTGTTCTGTAGTGTTTTCCAATGAACAGACTTTTTTTTTTTTTTTTTTTTTTGAGATGGAGTCTCACTCTGTCACCCAGGCTGGAGTACAGTGGTGTGATCATGGCTCACTGCAACCTCCACCTCCTCAGTTCAAGCAATTCTCCTGCCTCAGCCTCCCGAGTAGCTGGGACTACAGGTGTGCACCACCATGCTTGGCTACTTTTTGTATTTTTAATAGAGTTGGGGTTTCACAATGTTGGCCAGGCTGGTCTCAAACTCCTGACCTCAGGTGATCCACCCGCCTCGTTAACATAATTCTGGACTAATAATGCTTATTTACAACCTCAATGAGAAAAACAAACACTTCATTTCAACATCATATTCCATATCCCTGAATGTCCAACATACAAATCACACGGGCTTGTCGCAAAAGTCACAGTTTGGCCCTTGAGGCAGCAAGAGTCAGCTTGGAGATTATTCCTTTTAAGGTGTTACCTTATAATAAACAAACAAGTAAAGGATCACTTCTCTAAGGATATTTTCAGGTTAAAGAAGGCTATTTCAAAGATGATTCAGGGTGTGTGTGTGTGTGTGTGTGTGTGTGTGTTGCGGAAAGTTTCCCTTTCCTTAATTAATTTATATATTATATATTTTTTAAAGACGGTGTCTTGCTCTGTTGCTCAGCCTGGAGTGCAGTGATGCAATCATAGCTCAATGAAGCCTCGAACTCCTGGGCTCAAGCAATCATCCCACCCCAGCCTCCCAAGTAGCTGGGACTACAGGCATGCACCACTATACCTGGCTAATTTTTTTGTAGAGATGGGGTCTCTCTATGTTGCCCAGGCAGGTCTCGAGCTATCATACTTAAGGATCTTCCAGCCTCCACCTCCCAAAGTGCTGAGATTACAGGCATGAGTCTTGAGAACTTTCCTTAATATTATTTCCCTCCAGGTCGTATGGACCATGCTCTGTTTTTTCTCAGAGAACACAGATTTTCAGATCCTGATCTGATTTCTCATGGTGGATGCGTTTGCCTCGTAAGAAAACACTTGACAGAAGAGACAGAAGAAGTGTTTATAGCTGTCCCCAGGAGAGCAGCCTAATTTCACCTTTTCAGGCAAACTGCCAGGAACTGTCCTAGTCAGTAGACTTGGTGCCCACCCCAGTCTTCTCTGACACAAATGGTAATGAAACATTGCTGTTGTTTATCTACATCAGGTCTCAGCACCCTGCATGTTCGAAGCTAAGTCATTAGCACGGATTAGATACAAATTATCCCCTTGAATAAGAGCACTCTATACTCAGATTAAAACTATTGATTTCCAATCTACTACCCAAAAGGACTCTATCATCAGGACACATTGGGTACTTTGCTTCAGTTTTGACTTTTGGATTTGGGCCTGAGATTTCGTTGTCAGGCCGTAACACTCAGTGTTGTTTAATTAGTATAGAATAAAAAAAGAATTGCTGTAAATCAGGGCATTCCAGATTGTGATATTACCTTGATGCTGCTGTTCCTACCATGCTTCAGCTGTGATCAAGCATGCTGTCAGGGCCTCAGCATCTGATTCTTCCTGGTAAATCAAGAACATCATTAACACTCAATCATGATTACATTTCCAGTTTGGAAAAGCCACCTCTGCTCCTAGTAAGAATTAAGACTTTATCACACTTATGGCAGTTACTGATTTATATTGTAAAGATGGTGTGTACTATATCTGTAAGATGTACCTTATCTGTCTCTGCCTTCATAATTCCATTTCCTCCCCCTCCACAAATTGTAGAGCATCATAGACAAAGGATGAATTTCCAAAATTGACAGTGAGCCTTTACAGATGATAAGCAGAAACGTCAGTGCCCAAGCTCAGACCAGCCATAGCAGAAATGTCGTCTATTTTGTTAGCTACTATCTTCCCAGTGCCCAGAAACCATGCTGGCATATAACAGGCGCTCTAAAAAAAAAAATCTAAGTGGGCTGGGCGTGCCTGTAATCTCACCACTTTGGGAGGCCAAGGTGGGCGGATCACGAGGTCAGGAGTTCTAGACCATCCTGGCTAACATGGTGAAACCCCGTCTGTACTAAAAAATACAAAAAATTAGCTGGGCGTGGAGGCAGGCGCCTGTAGTCCCAGGTACTCGGGAGGCTGAGGTGGGAGAATAGAGTGAACCCGGGAGGCGGAGCTTGCAGTGAGCCGAGATCGTGCCACTGAACTTCAGCCTGGGCGACAGAGCGAGACTCCGTCTCAAAAAAAAAAAAAAAAAATCTAAAAAATATTAAGTTTGCCAGGCACGGTGGCTCATGCCTATAATCCCAGTACTTTGGGAGGCTGAGGTGAAAGGTTTGCTTGAGCCCAGAAGTTCGAGGCGGGTGGATCACTTGAGATCTGGAGTTCGAGACCAGCCTGGACAATATGGTGAAACCCTGTCTCTACTAAAAATACAAAATTAGCCGGGTGTGGTGGCGCATGCCTGTAATCCCAGCTACTCAGAGACTGAAGCAGGAGAATCACTTGAACCCGGGAGGCAGAGGTTGCAGTGAGCTGAGACTGTGCCATTGCACTCCAGCCTGGGCAACAGAGCAAGTCTTGGTCTCAATAAATAAATAAATAAATAAGTAAATAAGTTTAAGAAATGAATATTAAATTAAATTTTTAAAAATGGATTAAAAAACATGAATAAGCCAATGGACACATAAGCATGCTTAATCTCACTAAGAAATAAATGTAAATTATAATGAAATAAATAAAATGCAACTTTTCAGATTTTATATTGATGAAAATGGAAAATGGCTGGTAATATCTGGAATTGAGACCAGGTGAGGTGGCTCATGCCTGCAGTCCCAGTACTTTGGGAGGCTGAAGCAAACTTGAGGCCAGGAGTTTGGGACCAGCCTGGGGAACATAGAGAGACCCTTGTCTTTACAAAAAAATTTTTAAAAAAATTAGCCAGGCATGGTAGTGCACACCTGTATCCCCAGCTACTCAGGAAGCTGAGGTGGGAGGATCACTTGAGCCCAGAAGCTGGAGGCTATAGTGAACTATAATTGCGTCACTGCACTCCATCCTGGGTGACAGAATAAGACCCTAGTCTAAAACAACAGAAAGAACAACAAAAAAAAAAACTTGGTGGAGTTGTGAATAAAACACTGTGAAGGATTTAAAGCAGTCGATTCTAAAAGGAAAATCGTATGATACGTATTGAAATTTACAACATCCATATCCTGGACCCAGCAATTCCACTTCTCGGATTTCAGTCTGCATAAAAATCATTCTTATGCAAAAGTATGTGTGTAAGAATACTCATTTTAGGAATATCCGTACTAGTGAAATATGGGAGAACACCCAAGTTAGCAAATATTTTAATAACTACAGACAATATTTGTTGAGTACTTACCTGGTGCTTGTTTCTGTAGTTCATATTTCACAAAAAATAAACTCAGGAAATTGATTCTATTAATATCTTTCAGTCTCAGAAAAAGACAGGTTCAAAGGCAGATGCTGAAATAGGAAAAGCTTCGGGCTTTTTGTGGTTTCTGTTTTTTATAGTAGTGCAACATACTCTTCTAGGTACTTAAAACTTTTAACACATTTAATTTAATTTAATTTAATTTAATTTAATTTAATTTAATTTAATTTAACAAGATGGGCCTGTTATTAGCATCCTCATTTTACATTTGAGGAACCTGACACTTAAAACAGTTTAAACAACTTGCTCAGTCTCTCACAGATAGCAAGTGGCAAAGACAGGTACACCATGCTAAGTGCTGCCTAGTTAAAGATAGAATACCTAGGTTTTTATCCTTTTTCTGACTTAATTAGATGTCTTTTTTTTTTTTTTTGAGATTGAGCCTTGCTCTGTCACCTAGGCTGGAGTGCAGTGGCACAGTCTCAGCTCACTGCAACCTCCACCTCCCGGGTTTAAGTGATTCTCCTGCCTCAGCATCCTGAGTAGCTGGGATTACAGGCACCTGCCACTATGCCCGGCTAATTTTTGTATTTTTAGTAGAGATGGGGTTTCACCATGTTTGCCAGGCTGGTCTCGAACTCCTGACCTCAGTGTACTGTCTGCCTTGGCCTCTCAAACTACTGAAATTCCAGGCAACAGCCACCGTGCCCAACCAATTAAATGTCTTAAACCTCAGGTTCTTTATCTGTAAAATAGGAATAATGCCATTATCTTGCAGAATTTTATGAGTTAAAATATCTATATCAAGTTGTATCAACCAATATTTAGTGGAAGTTCTAGCTAGGGCAATCAGACAAGAACAGATTAGAAAGGAGGAAATAAAACTGGCTTTCTCCACAGATGATATAGTTGTTTGTGTAGAAAATACAAAAGGATCCATAAAAATCTCCTGGAACTAGTAAGTGAGTATAGCAAGATTGCAATATCCAAAGTTAATATATAAATGTCAATTTCTTCTCTGTTTTCCAGAATGAACAATTGGAATTTGTGATTTAAAAAATACTATTTACAGCTGAACCCCAAAAGTGAAATATTTATGTAACATAATAAATATAAATCCAACAAAATATTTATAAGGTAGATGGATGTGTCCTTCAGTAAGCAAATGGATAAACAAACTGAAGTTCACCCATAGAATGCAATACTTTTCATTGATTAAAAAAATGAGCTACCAAGCCATGAGGAGACATGCATGAATATTAAATTCACATTGCTAAGTAAAAGAATGTAGCCTGTTCAGGCTGTGTAATGCTTGATTCCAGTTACCTGACATCCTAGAAAAGATAAACTATAGAGATGATAAACAGATCCCTGGTCCCTAGGGCCAGGAGTTCTGGGGGAGAGAGGAGGGTTGAATCAGTAATGCACAGAGGATATTTTTTTTGAGACAGAGTCTTGCTCTGTTGCCCAGGCTGGAGTGCAGTGGCACAATCTTGGCTCACTGCAACCTCTGCCTCCTGTGCTCAAGCAACTCACCTGTCTTAGCCTCCCAAATAGCTGGAATTACAGGGGCCTGCCACCACACCCAGCTAATTTTTGTATTTTTAGTAGAGACGAGGTTTCACCATGTTGGCCAGGTTGGTCTTGAATTCCTGACCTCAAGTGATCTGCCTGCCTCAGCCTCCCAAAGTGGTGGGATTACAGGCATGAGCCACTGTGCCTGGCCCACAGAGGGACATTTAGGGTGGTGAAATCATTCAGTATGATACTGCCATGGTGGATACAAGACACTAGGCTTTTGTCAAGTTATAGAACTTTACACACAAAGAATAAACCTTAATGTATATAGATTTTTAAAAAATCATTTAAGAGTTCAAAAGGTGCCAGAATAAAATGCAGCATATGACAAAATAATCTACATTATATTAAAAATGTATGAAACAACCTTGCTGAAGAGGATTGGGGAAAAATTTGCTGACCAAAATAACTTTGGAAATGAATGCAGTCTGTAAAACTAAAGGCAAAAGGAACAGTACATAAGCATTGTACTCTAGTTGATAAAGTTCTATAGCACAGGGGTACACGCTAAAATCCCGATACTGCTCTACATTTACACTGGAAATGTACAATGAAGTAAACGGATGGCAGATGGTGAGAGTCAGATTTCTCATTGTTGGAGTGGAAATGTGTAGATCTATAGGTGAGGAGGCTTGAATATTGATGTGATAATGAATTAGAGTTGAAGACATCAGCAAGAACTCATTATTGCCTCAATATATTAATAGATAAAGATGGGTTAAATATAGAAAAATAGAACAATGTGTGTATGTGCACTTGTTAATATACACACATACATTTCTTTTCCCTATCAACCACGAGGGCCATGAATCAACCTTAGCCCAGTAGCAAGGAACACGTGTAGTATCTACATTTTGGATTTTAAGACCATGCAAACTACCATAAAAAGAACCGAGCTCCTTGGAGAAATGGCTGATTCTAGGACTGCAGCAGGAAATATAGAAGATGAACCCAGAGCATCTTGGAGAGCCAGAAAGTAAGGAAGTGCTCCTTGCTAGGAAAAAAATAAGACAGCACATGGGTGCACATGTACAAACATGGGTATTTTTGTTGAGGATTTTTAAAAAGAACTTAGGGCCCAACACTAAGAGCTTCCAATGGCTGGAGCTGGAAGAATTTGAACAAAAATATAATAATATTCAATTATAATTCAAAGTATAAAATACTTTCTATATGTGTAGAAAGTATTTTATATATATAATACTTATTTTATATACTTATTTACATATAAAAGTATTGACTGGGTGCGGTGGCTCATGCCCTGTAATCCCAGCACTTTGGGAGGCTAAGGCAGGCAGATCACCTGAGGTCAGGAGTTTGAGACCAGCCTGACCAACATGGAGAAACCCTGTCTCTACTGAAAATAGAAAAAATTAGCCAGGCGGGGTGGTGCATGCCTGTAATCCCAGCTACTCAGGAGGCTGAGGCAGGAGAATTGCTTGAACCCAGGAGGTGGAGGTTGTGGTGAGCCCAGATCATGCTATTGTACCCCAGCCTGGGCTATAAGAGTGGAACTCCATCTCAAAAAAAAAAAAGTATTTTATATATACAATACTTATATATACTTATTTCTTTTTTTTTTTGAGGTTTTGTTAGTATGGATGATCAGACTGTGTGTTCAAGGAAGTAATATTTTATATATTTTTTACTTTTATTTTTATTTATTATACTTTAATTTTTAGGGTACATGTGTACAACGTGTAGGTTAGTTACATATGTATACATGTGCCATGTTGGTGTGCTGCACCCACTAACTCGTCATTTAACATTAGGTATGTCTCCTAATGCTCTCCCTTCCCCCACCCCACAACAGGCCCTGGTGTGTGATGTTCCCCTTCCTGTGTCCAAGGGTTCTCATTGTTCAGTTCCCACCTATGAGTGAGAACATGCAGTGTTTGGTTTTTTGTCCTTGCGATAGTTTGCTGAGAATAATGGTTTCCAGCTTCATCCATGTCCCTACAAAGGACATGAACTCATCATTTTTTATGGCTGCATAGTATTCCATGGTGTATATGTGCCACATTTTCTTAATCCAGTCTATCATTGTTGGACATTTGGGTTGGTTCCAAGTCTTTGCTATTGTGAATAGTGCCGCAATAAACATATGTGTGCATGTGTCTTTATAGCAGCATGATTTATATATACTTATTTCTATAAAATATATATACATATATAAATATATACACTTTTTATATAAAAATATATACTTATATAAATATACATACACTTATTTATATATAAATATATCATAAATATTTTAATAAATATATGTTAATAAATATATAAATACATGTCTATAAATAAATAAATGGAAAATAGTCAACTGTCTGATACAGAATTCTAAGTAATTCTATGTAGCTACTCCAGCCTCAAGGAGATAAAGCGTAAAAGAATAAAGCTTTTCTTAAGTGTGGGCTACACATAGTGACTTCCTTCCAAAGACTACAGTATGTAAAGGGGGTAAAAAAGTAACTTTCCCGAGGAGAAACCTGAGAAATTTACCCAGCCAGGCGATCAAGGTCAACATCAACAATCATAAATCATGTTGAAAGTATGAACCCTTCATATAATGTGATAATAATAGCACTCTACCTCTGTAATCTTCTTCTCAAAAACCCATAACCTCAGTCTAATTATGAAAAGAATATCAGACAAATTCCAAGAAAGAGGCATTCTACTGTATATTTGACCAATACTCCAAACTGTCAAGGTCATCAAAGACAGGGAAAGCCTCTGAAACCACCACAGCCAAAAGGAGTCTAAAAAGACTTGACAACTAAATGTGGCATCGTGGATGAAATCTTGAACATTAGGTAAAGATGAAGAAAATCTAGACAAAGTATGGACATTAGTTAATAATATATCAACATTGGTTCATTAATTACAATAAATTTACTACCTCTTGGGCGTTAGGTAAAAATTATGGAAATCGGCCAGGCACAGCGGCTCATGCCTGTAATCCCAGAACTTTGGGAGGCCGAGGTGGGTGGATCACCTGTGGTCGGGAGTTCGAGACCAGCCTGGGCAACATGGCGAAACCCCGTCTCTACTAAAAATACAAAAATTAGCTGGGTATGGTGGCACATGCCTGTAATCCCAGCTACCTGGGGGGCTGAGGCAGGAGAATCACTTGAACATGGGAGGTGGAGGTTGCAGTGAGCTGAAATCGCACCATTGTACTCCAGCCTGGGTGATAAGAGCAAAACTTCATCTAAAAAAAAATTATGGAAATCTAAACCAAGTATGGACTTTAGTTAATAATGTATCAGTGTTAGTTCATTAATTATAATAAATTATCTAGTCATGTAAAGTGTTAATAATAGGAAAAATAGGAGTGAGTTATATGGTTACTTTCACTACCTTCTCATTTTTTGTGTGAATACAAAACTCTTGTAAAATAATTTTTTAAAGACAATATTCTTACGAAAAGTATTCTTCTGGATCAACTTTCACATGATCTGCAAAAATGTAGCCCCCTCAAACAGCCCACAGAATGTTCTGGGAATTTCCAAGAGGCACTTGTAATGTCCCCTTTTCCCCTCTCTTCTCAAAGCTTCTTCCCAGAGTTGCCTATGGCGATGTTTCCTGCTGAAATGTTCTTCCCAAATGGCAACACTTCCATCAATGTTTGCAAAGGCACTGCCACTGCAGCCCACCAGAGGAGCCTCTGCAGTGGTACCCACTGATCTTCCCACTAAAGCTACTGCAGCAGGTATTTATACAGTTCTTTTCTGCAACCCCTTTGCCTTGTGTCTTCAGTAGGAATCATGGATACTGCACTAGGCCCCAGGAACAGAGACCTTTCTATGCTCGATCTCCAGCCTTCCTCTCCAGCATAGACACATTGCCCTTGAACGAAAACTGCAGTTTCTTATTCCTATGTCAGAAACATCTTGATTTATCTGTGGACATTTCCACTGCTAGTTTTACTCAAATAGTTCTGCAAGAAATTGAGTCAGATTCACATTAGATCTCATCTTCCTCTTCCTCCTTCTCTTCTTGTTCATTCTTCTATAACATCGGGATATTTTCACTACAGTTAATCCTGTGGGAACAAATTCCAAACTCCAAACCACTCTATATGATGTGACCTTAGAATGAGTCAGGTTGATGGATTCCTCAGGTTGAACTCAGTTTAGGATGTCGACCCCACGTTTGGGAGCTTTGAAGGCAATGTGTGAATTGACTGATGTGAAAATTCTCAGCACAATTCCTAGTGCATTATAAGTGCTGAGCATTATGAATGCTCAGAAGTCCCTGAGAATTTGGCCAGTAGTTATGTCTACTGTTACTGTAAGTTCTTTAAATAAAGATATAAACAGTTAATATCTAAAGACAAGAGTCAGAAGATCATAGCTCACTGCAGCCTTGAACTCTTGGGCTCAAGTGGGCTTCCCACCTCAGCCTCCCAAAGTGCTGGGAATACAAGACTGCACCACTACACCCAGCCCAGAAGTGTTTTTAGAGAGGAGGGTATCTCTGCTTAGGGAATGACATTTATGATCTGGGGGGGGGTCTGTCCTGCAGACACTGACCCAATAATGGACGAATAAAATACACTGATACACAGATATTCTGCTTTGCCAGTTCTACTGAGCATCCATGCCACTTAGTTGTAACCACAGCCCTGACCAGCCAGTGAGACTCGCGTTTATTCAGTGAAGTTTAATTGACAAAGGCTCGAGTCAACACCACTAGAGGGTAATTGACATTGTGGACTTTCAGAGTAAAAAGCAATTAAGCACCCGCGGTAAATCAAAGGTTAGTCTTAGGACCACATGAGTAAACAAGTTAGTTAGATAAACTACTCTACATTCCTTTGTATTTGCACCCTAAGCTCTCTGGCTCCTGCAAAGGGACTCTGGCTGCCTTCAGCCAGATCTATTACCAAAGTTATGCAAACTCTCAGGCCTTCCAAGAGGGTTTGTGGTTATTATAACTAAAACTTTTCCCACCAGCCTGACTGAACCCCCACAATGAGCCACTCAGTGTAGAATGCAAGTTGAGGTTGGAAGGAGATGGTGCTAAAAAGATATGAGTAAGCTATTCTACAACAGAAAGAATACAAATTCAGAGGAGAACAGAGAAGAGAAAGAGGATCTGTCTTAGGAGATGTTCAATAATGAACTTTGAGAAGAAAGAAGTTAAAGATCCTATTTTTAATTGTTTGTATTTGAATATCCAGAAGTCTGCTACAAATACAAAGGTCTTGTGTTAGTGGGTTTGAGGGAAATCAAGGGGAAGAGATGGTTTCTGTGTCTGGATAATGGGAAGCAACATCATTTTGTACTGATAATATATCATGACAAGAGTAAATGACAAAGCTTTAAGCCAAAGGTGGCAAGGAAATGGAAGCCTGCCCATAATCTTCACAAGTCTTTGGGAGAGACAATGGGCTATCCACAATTAAGGGAATGAGGTTGCAAAACAATGTTAAAATCTAGAGTTTAAGGGGAAGGATCATTGATGTCACCATTGTCTGAGTTACAACAGCATCCCTTTGAGATTGGGTGAAGTTCAGAGAATTGAAGTGAGTTGCGTATGCTGACCTGGCTAGATAGTGTTAGAAGTGGGACTAGAATTTGTTCCTCTGACTCACCTCCACTTGGGGAAGTAAAAACCTCCTCTCCTCTTGGCCTTGCAGTGAACTGATCTATTGCTTTTTTCTGCTTTGATCCAACTAAGGTCAGCTCTGGTCAAGCTCAGTCTCAGAAAGCCATTTGCAAAGTTCAACTTAAAGTGCTCACATATGTGTCCCAGGAGACAGGAACAAGCATTGTCACAATCAATAGACAATGGTTGGTGTTATTTTATGTGTTGTGAGGTGATGACACCTGCAGAACTCTAACGTGAAAAGATAAGGCTATTTTGTGGAAGGAACTTCATTTATCAATAAGCAAAGTGTTTATACTTTCATAGACACTTTTGACCTCTTTGTCTGGTCGTCGTGGCTCATATCTGTAATCCCAGCACTTTGGGAGGCCTAGGCAGGTGGATCACCTGAAGCCAAGCTTTCAAGACCAGCCTGGCCAACATAGTGAAACTTTAACTCTACTAAAAATGCAAAAATTAGCCAGGTGTGGTGGCTCGTGCCTGTAATCCCAGCTACTTGGGAGGCTGAGACAGGAGAATTGGTTGAACCTGGGAGGTGGAGGTTGCAGTAAGCTGACATCATGCCATTGCACTACAGCCTGGGTAATAGAGTGAGACTCCATCTCAAAAAAAAAAAAAAAAAAAAAAGAAAAGAAAAGAAAAAAGAAAGTGGCTCTTGGAAATCTCCAAGATGAGCTTTTGTCTTGAGTAAATGTCCAATAAGCCTGCTCCAACTTGTACCCTTTTGATGAATCCTTTCTACTTGTTGCATGTCAGATGTTATTTTAGGACATCAGGGAATAGGAGCTGACATGGAGAGCTTCTTGAAAGCAGTCCAGACCAAAGCAGTTGTCTTTAGTTGGTATCTCCATGTCACTCCCACTTTCCTGCTTCTACCACCTTCCCTGGGTTTCTTTGTTCCTGACCTGTGGTTCACATTCAGGATTATTTCTTCCAGAACCTGCCCTTGCTTGGACAACTATATTATGGTTTCTGTTGTTCTTGATATGTTTGCAGATTTTTTGTTTTGACCTCTAATCAACACCTTGCAATTTTTGCAGGCTTTTAATACTTGGGATGTGGCTTTTTGCCTGACTGTGCCTCTGGAGTCATGACTACACCTCCCTTCCACTAAATGATTTTTGGGATGAATTTCTAAAATGTTTGATTTCCATCTGGTTTCCAGCCTCATATCATACCAGTACTCAAACAAGAATAATTATAATATAAAGCATTTGTTGGCCACGTGAAATAGTTTTGCTGTGTCCCCACCTAAATCTCATCTTGAATTGTAGCTCCCATAATTCCCACATGTTGTGGGAGGGGCCTGGTGGAGATAATTGAATCATGGGTTGGCTTCCCCCATACTGTTCTTGTG